>NT_113948.1:0-92689 GCF_000001405.40 Homo sapiens
GAATTCTTCAAAGAGTTCCAGATATCCACAGGCAGATTCTACAAAAGAAGTGTTTCAATACTGCTCTATCAAAAGATGTATTCCACTCAGTTACTTTCATGCACACATCTCAATGAAGTTCCTGAGAAAGCTTCTGTCTAGTTTTTATGTGAAAATATTTCCTTTTCCATCATGGGCCTCAAAGCGCTCAAAATGAACCCTTGCAGATACTAGAGAAAGACTGTTTCAAAACTGCTCTATCCAAAGAACGGTTCCACTCTGTGAGGTGAATGCACACATCACAAAGCAGTTTCTGAGAACGCTTCTGTCTAGTTTGTAGGTGAAGATATTTCCTTTTCCTTCATAGGCCTCTAATCGCTCCAAATATCCACAAGCAGATTCTTCAAAATGTGTGTTTCAACACTGCTCTATCAAAAGAAAGGTTCAAGTCTGTGAGTTGAATGCACACATCACAAAGCAGTTTCTGAGAATGCCTCTGTCTAGTTTGTATGTGAAGATATTTCTTTTTCCGTCTTATGCCTCAAATCGCTCCAAATATCCACTTGCAGATACTTCAAAAAGACTCTTTCAAAACTGCTCTATCCAAAGAACGGTTCAACTCTGTGAGATGAATGCGCTCATCACAAAGCAGTGTTTGAGAATGCTTCTGTCTAGTTTTCATGTGAAGATATCCTGTTTACAGAGATTAACTCAAAGAGCTCCAAGTATCCACTAGTAGAAACTTTAACAGCAGTTTTTCAAAACAGCTCTATCAAAAGAAAGGTTCAACTCTGAATTGAACACACGGATCACAAAGGTGTTTCTGAAAAAGCTTATGTCTGTTTTTTATATGAAAATATTTTCTTTTCCACCTTACACCCCAAAGCGCTCCAAATGAACGCTTGCAGATTCTACAAAAAGACTGTTTCCAAACTGCTCTATGAAAAGAAGGGTTACACTCAGTGAGATAAATGCACACATCACAAAGCAGTTTCTGAGAATGCTTCTGTCTATATATTATGTGAAGGTAACTGTTTCCAACATATTCCTCATAGAGTTCCAAATATACACAAGCAGATTCTGAAAAAAGATTATTTTAATACTGCTCTTTGAAAAGGTAGATTCATCTCTTTTAGTTGAATGCACACATCTCAAAGTAGTTCCTGAGAATGCTTCTGTCTAGTTTTTATGTGAATATATTACCTTTTCCACCATAGGCTTCAAAGCACTCCAAATGAACAGTTGCAGATTCTACAAAAGGACTGTTTCAAAACTGCTATATGAAAAGAAGTGTTCCACTCTGTGAGGTGAATGCACACATCACAAAGCAGTTTCTGAGAATGATTCTGACTAGTGTTTATGTGAAGATATTTCTTTTCCCATCATAAGCCTCAAATCACTCAAAATATACACTTGCAGATAGTACAAAAAGTCTGTTTCAAATCTTCTCTCTCAAAAGGAAGGTTCAACTTTGTGAGTTGAGTGCACACATCACAAAGCAGTTTCTGAGAATGCTTCTGTCTAGCGTGTATGTGAAGTTACCACGTTTACAAGGAATTCCTCAAAGAGCTCCAAATATCCACTAGGAGAACCTTAAAAAGCAGTGTTTCAAAAGTGCTCTATCAAAAGAAAGGTTCAACTCTGTGAATTGAAAACGCATATCACAATGGTGTTTCTGAGAATGCTTCTGTCTAGTTTTCATGTGAAGATATTTCCTTTTCCACCATATGCCCCAAAGCGCTAAAAATGAACAATTGCAGATTCTACAAAAAGTGTGCTTCAGCACTGCTCTATCAAAAGAAAGGCTCAACTCTGTGAGTTGAATGCACACAACACAAAGCAGTTTCTGAGAATTCCTCTGTCTAGTTTTTATGTGTAGATATTTCCTTTTCCTCATATGACTCAAATCGCTCCAAATATCCTCTTGCTGATACTACAAAAAGACTGTTTCAAAACTGCTCTCTCAAAAGGAAGGTTCAGCTCTATGAGTTGAAGGCACACATCAAGAAGCAGTTTCTGAGAATGTTTCTGTCTAGTTTGAATGTGAAGATATCCCATTTACAACGAATTCCTCAAATAACTCAAAATATCCACAAGCAGATTCTACAAAAACAGTGTTTCAATACTGCTCTACGAAAAGAAAGGTTCAACTCTGTGAATTGAAAACACACATCACAAAGTTGTTTCTGAGAATGCTTCTGTCTAATTTTTAGGTGAAGATATTTCCTTTTCCACCATGGGCCCCAAAGCGCTAAAAATGAACAATTGCAGATTCTACAAAAAGTGTGTTTCAGCACTGCTCTATCAAAAGAAAGGCTCAACCCTGTGAGTTGAATGCACACATACAAAGCAGTTTCTGAAAATTCTTCTGTCTAGTTTGTATGTGTAGATATTTCCTTTTCCTCATATGACTTGAATCGCTCCAAATATCCACTTGCACATGCTACGAAAAGACTGTTTCAAAACTGCTCTCTCAAAAGAAGATTCAGCTCTATGAGTTGCAGGCACACATCAAGAAGTAGTTTCTGAGAATGCTTCTGTCTAGTTTGAATGTGAAGATACCCCGTTTACAACGAATTCCTCAAAGAACTCCAAATATCCATAAGCAGATTCTACAAAAACAGTGTTTCAATACTGCTCTATCAAAAGAAAGGTTCAACTCTGTGAATTGAACACACACATCACAAAGGAGTTTCTGAGAATGCTTGTGTCTTGTTTTTATGTGAAGATTTTTTTTTTCCACTATAGGCAACAATGCGCTCCAAATGAACACTTGCAGATTCTACAAAAAGTGTGTTTCCACACTGCTCTTTCAAAAGAAAGGTTCAAGTCTGTGAGTTGAATGCACACATCACAAACAACTTTCTGAGATGGCTTGGGTCTAGTTTTTAAGTGAAGATATCCGTTTCCAATGAATTCCTCAAGGAGTTGAAAATATCCGCCAGCAGATTCTACAAAAGCAGTATTTCAATACTGCTCTATCAAAAGAGGGATTCAACTCTTTTAGTTGAATGCACACATCTCAAAGAAGTTCCTGAGAATGCTTCTATCTTGTTTTTATGTGAAGATATTTTCTTTTCTACCGTAGGCTTCAAAGCGCTCCAAAAGAACACTTGCAGATTCTTCAAAAAGACTGTTTCAAAACTGCTCTATTAAAAGAAGGGTTCCACTCTATGAGGTGAATGCACACACCACGAAGCAGATTCTGAGAATGCTTCTTTCTATTTTTTATGTGAAGATATTCCCTTTTCCATCACAAGCTTCAAATCTCTCCAAATATCCACTTGCAGATACTACAAAAAGACTGTTTCATAACTGCTCTCTCAAAAGGAAGGTTCAACTTTTTGAGTTCAGTGCGCACATCACAAAGCAGTTTCTGAGAATGCTTCTGTCTAGTTTGTATGTGTAGGTATTTCCTCTTCCATCACATGCCTCAAATCGTTCCAAATATCCACTGACAGATACTATAAAAAGACTGTTTCAAAACTGCTCTATCAAAAGGAGTGTTCAACTCTGTGAGTTGAATGCACACATCACAAATTAGTTTCTGAGAATCCTTCTGTCTACTTTTTATGTGAAGATATTCCCATTTCCAACCGAGGCTTCAAAGCACTCCAAATATCTACTTGCATATTGTACAAAAAGAGTGCTTCAAAACTGTTCTATCAAAAGGAAGATTCAACTCTGTAAGTTGAATGCACACATCACAAGGAAGTATCTGAGAATAGTTCTATCTAGTTCTTATGTGGAGCTATTCCGGTTTCCAAGGAAGGCTTCTGACCATCAGAAATATTCACTTGCATATTCTACAAAAAGAGTGTTTCAAAACTGCTCTATTAAAAGGAAGGTTCAACTCTGTGAGTTGAATGCACACATCACAAACACTCTTCTGAGAATCCATCTGTCTCTTTTTTATGTGAAGATATACCCGTTTCCAATGAAGGCTTCAAAGTACTACAGTTATCCACTAGCTGATTCTACACAAAATCTGTTTCAAAACTGCTCCATCAAAAGGAAGCTTCAACTCTGTGAGTTGAATGCACACATCAAAAGGAAGTTACTGAGAATGCTTCTATCTAGTTTTTATGTGAATATATTCCCGTTTCCAATGAATTCTTCAAAGCGATCCAAATATACACTTGCAGATACTACAAAAAGAGTGTTTTAAAACTGCTCTATCAAAAGGAAGGTTCATCTCTGTGAGTTGAATGCACACATCACAAGGAAGTTTCTGACAATGCTTTTGTCTAGTTTTCATGTGAATATATTCTCGTTTCCAACGAAGGCTTCAAAGCCCTCCAAATATCCACTTGCATATTCTACAAAAAGAGTGTTTCAAAACTGCTCTATCAAAAGGAAGGTTCAACTCTGTGAGTTGAATGCACACATCAAAAAGGAGTTTCTGAGAATGCTTCTGTCAAGTTTTTATGTGGAGATATTCCCGTTTCCAATGAAGGCTTCTAACCACAAGAAATATCCACTTGAAGATTCTACAAAAAGAGTATTTCAAAACTGCTCTATCAAAAGGAAGGTTCAACTCTGGGAGTTGAATGCACACATCAAAAGTACGTTTCTGAGAATGCTTCTGTCTAGTTTTTATGTGAATATATTCCCTTTTCCAAAGAAGGCTTCAAAGCACTCCAAATATACACTTGCAGACACTACAAAAAGAGTGTTTCAAATTGCTCTATCAAAAGGTAGGTTCAACTCTGTGAGTTGAATGCACACATCACAAGGAACTTTCTGAGAATGCTTCTGTCCAGTTTTTATGTGAAGATATTCCCGTTTCCAACGAACGACACAAAGCGGTCAAATTATCCCCTTGCAGATTCTACAAAAAGAGTGTTGCAAAACTGCTCTACCAAAAGAAATGTTTAACTCTCTAAGTTGAATGCAAACATCACAAGAACTTTCTGGGAATACTTCTGTCTAGTTCTTATGTGAAGATGTTTCCTTTTCCACCATAGTCCTCAAAGTGCTCCAAATGTCCACTTGCAGATTCTACAATAAGGGTGTTTCAAAACTGCTCGGTCAAAAGATAAGTTAAACTCTGTGAGTTGAATGCACACATCACAAAGTAGCTTTTGAGAATGCTTCTGTCTAGTTTTTAAGTGATGATATTACCGTTTCCAAAGAAGGCTTCAAAGCACTCCAATTATCCACTTGCAGATCCTACTAAAAGAGTGTTTCAAAACCACTCTATCAAAAGAAAGAATAAATTCTGTGAGTTGTAAGCACACATCACAAATTAGCTCCTGAGAATGCTTCTGTCTAGTTTTTATATGAAGATACTTCCTTTGCTTCAATAGGCCTGAAATCTCTCCAAATAAACAATTGCAGATTCTACCAAAGGAGTGTTTCAAAACTCCTCTTTGAACAGAAAGGTTAAACTCTGTGAGTTGAATGCCAATATCACAAAGTAGTTTCTGAGAATGTTCCAGTCTGGTATTTATGTGAAGATATTCCCGTTTCCAACGAATTCCTCAAACCTGTCAAAATATCCACTTGCAGATTCTACAAAAAGAGTGTTTCAAAACTGCTCTGTCAAAAGAAAGGTTAAAATCAGTGGGTTAAATGCACACATCAGAAACGAGTTTAAGAGTATGCTTCTTTCTAGTTGTTATACAAAGAAATTGCCTTTTCTACCTGAGGCATTAAAGGGATCCAAATATCCACGTGTAGATTCTACAAAAAGTTTGTTTCAAAACTGCTCTATCAAAAAGAGTGTTTAAAGATATGAGTTTAATGCATCCATCACAAAGTAGTTTCTGAGAATCCTTCTGACTACTTTTTATGTGAAGATATTCCCGTTTCCAACGAAGGCTTCAAAGCACTCCAAATATCCACTTGCATATTCTACAAAAAGAGTATTTCAAAACTGCTCTATCAAAAGGAAGGTTCAACTCTGTGAGTTGAATGCACACATCACAAGGAAGTGTCTGAGAATGCTTCTGTCTAGTTTTCAAGTGAATATATTCTCGTTTCCAACGAGGGCTTCCAAGCACTCCAAATATCCAACTGCAGATAGTACAAAAAAAGTGTTTCAAATGTCCTCTATCAAAAGGAATGTTCAACTCTGTGAGTTGAACTCACATCACAAGTAAGTTTCTGAGAATGCATCTGTCCAGTTTTTATGTGAAGACATTCCCGTTTCCAATGAAGGACATCAAGCGGTCAAAATATGCACTTGCAGATTCTACAAAAAGAGTGTTTCAAAACTGCTGTATTAAAAGGAAGGTTCAACACCGTGAGTTGAATGCACACATCACAAGGAAGTTTCTAAGAAAGCTTCTGTCTAGTTTTCTTGTGAATATATTCCCGTTTCCAACGAAGGCTTCAAAGCACTACAAATACACACTTGCAAATAGTACTAAAAGAGTATTTCTAAACTGCTCTATCAAAAGGAAGGTTCAACTCTGTGAGTTGAATGCACACATCACAAGGAAGTTTCTTGGAATGCTTCTGTCCAGTTTGTATGTGAACATATTCCCGTTTCCAATGAAGGCTCCTCTCCACTAAAAATACCCACTTGCAGATTGAACAAAAAGAGTGTTTCCAAATTGCTCTATCAAAAGGAAGGTTCAACTCTCTGATTTGAGTGCACACATCACAAAGAAGTTTCTGAGAATTCAACTGTCTAATTTTTATATGAAGATATAGCCTTTTCCAATGAAGACTTCAAATTACTCTAATTAGCTACTTGCAGATTCTACAAAAAGAGTGTTTCAAAACTGCTCTATCAAAAGGAAGGTTCAACTCTGTGAGTTGAATGGACAGATCACAATGAAGTTTCTGAGAATTATTCTGTCTAGTTTTCATGTGAATATATTCCCGTTTTCAACGAAGGCTTCAAAGCACTCCAAATATACACTTGCAGATACTCTAAAAGAGTGTTTCAAAACTACTCTATCAAAAGGAAGTTTCAACTCTGTGAGTTGAATGCACACATCCCAAGGAAGTTTCTGAGAATGCTTCTGTCAAGTTTTTAATGTGAAGATATACCCGTTTCCAATGAAGGACAAAAAGCGGTCAAAATATCCACTTGCAGATTCTACAAAAAGAGTGTTTCAAAACTGCTCTAGCAAAAGAAATGTTTAACAGTGTGAGTTGAATGCAAACATCACAAAGTATTTTCTGAGAATGTTTCTGTCTAGTTTTTAGGTGAAGATATTTCCTTTTCCACCATAGCCCTCAAAGTGCTCCAAATGTCCACTTGCAGATTCTACATTAAGAGAGTTTCAAAACTTCTCTGTCAAAAGACAGGTTAACTCTGTGAGTTGAATGTACACATCACAAAGTAGTTTTTGAGAATGATTCTGTCTAGTTTTTAGGTGAAGATATTCCCGTTTCCAACGAAGGCTTCAAATCACTCCAATTATCCACTTGCAGGTCCTACAAAAAGAGTTTTTCAAAGCTGTTCTATCAAAAGAAAGGTTAAATTCTGTGAGTTGTAAGCACACAACACTATCTGGTTTCTCAGAATTCTTCTGTCTAGTTTTTATTTGAAGATATTTCTTTTTCTTCCATAGACCTCAAAGCGCTCCAAATATCCAATTGCAGATTCAACTAAAAGAGTGTTTCAAAACAGCTCTATGAAAAGAAAGGTCCAACTCTGTGAGTTGAATGCAAACATCACAAAGAAGTTTCTGAGAATGCTTCTGTCTGGTATTTATGTGATGATATTCCCTTTTCCAATGAATTCCTCAAAGCAGTCAAAATATCCACTTGGAGATTCTACAAAAATAGTGTTTCAAAACTGCTCTATCAAAAGAAAGGTTAAAATATGTGCGTTGAATGCACACATCAGAAACTAGATTATGAGAATGCTTCTTTCTAGTTTATACATAAAGAAATTTCCCTTTCTACCAGAGGACTTAAAGGGATCCAAATATTCACGTGTAGATTCTACAAAAAGAGTGTTTCAAAACTGCTCTATCAAAAGGAGTGTTCAACTCTGTGATTTGAATGCAATCATCACGAAGTAGTTTCTCAGAATCCTTCTGTCTACTTTTTAAGTGAAGATATTCCCGTTTCCAAAGAAGGCTTCAAAGCACTCCAAATATCCGCTTGCATATTCTACAAAAAGAGTGCTTCAAATCTGCTCTATCAAAAGGAAGGTTCATCTCTATAAGTTGAATGCACACATCACAAAGAAGTTCCTGAGAATGCTTCTGTCTATTTTTTACGTGGAGATATTCCCGTTTCCAATGAAGGCTTCTCTCCACCAGAAATATCCAGTTGCAGATTCTACAAAAAGAGTGTTTCACTGTGAAGCCAGAAACTACTAACTGGGAACGAGAATTTCCATTTATGTATAGGTCTTTTGGCTAATATCAAATGTATAGAAAATCATTCTAAATTTTAAATATTAGTTCTATTTTTCAGACATAGTTGGTAATCTATATAAATAGCTTCGGGAATGCAGCTTAAGCTGTATTAGTAGTTTAAGAAATAAGATAACCAGACATACAGGCAAAATGTTTGCAAAAGAATATTTTTGTTTGCATCATTTTTCATACTGACAAAATTTGGATACAAAGTAAAATTCAAACAAGGAGAAAATGCATGAATGTATTATGATTAATAAAATACACACAATTAAAAATATTCACAAAGAACTTAACAAACAAATATTTATGGCAATCATTGATAAAAACAGTGTAAAATTAATAAATGCAATATGACTTTTGTTATGTTAACATAAACATGCATTGAAAAAATAGATTATTTGATACATTGCTAAAAACAAAAAAACAGTGTTTCAAAACTGCTCTATCAAAAGGAAGGTTCAACTCTGTGAGTTGAATGCACCCATCACAAAGAAGTTTCTGAGAATGCAATTGTGTAGTTTTTATTTGAATATATTCCGGTTTCCAATGAAGGCTTCAAAGCACTCCAAATATACATTTGCAGATACTACAAAAAGAGTGTTTCAAATCTGCTCTATCAAAAGGAATTTTCAACTCTGTGAGTTGAATGCACACATCACAAGGAAGTTTCTGAGAATGTTTCTTTCTAGTTTTTATGTGAATATAATCCCGTTTCCAACGAAGGCTTCAAAGCACTCCAAATATACACTTGCAGATACCTCTTAAAGAGTGTTTCAAAACTGGTCTACCAAAAGGAAGGTTCAACTCAGTGAGTTGAAAGCACACATCCCAAGGAAGCCTCTGAGAATGCCTCTGTCCAGTTTTTATTTGAAGACATTCATTTTTCCAACAAAGGACACCAAGCGGTCAAATCATCCTCTTGTAGATCTACAAAAGGAGTGTTTCAAAACTGCTCTATGAAAAGAAAGGTCCAACTCTGTGAGTTGAATGCAAACATCACAATAAAGTTTCTGAAAATGCTTCTGTCTGGTATTTATCTGACGATATTCCCGTTTCCAATGAATTCCTCAAAGCAGTCAAAATATCCACTTGCAGATTCTACAAAAATAGTGTTTCAAAACTGCTCTATCAAAAGAAAGGTTAAAATCTGTGCGTTGAGTGCACACATCAGAAACAAAATTCTGAGAATGCTTCTTTCTAGTTTTTATATAAAGAAATTTCCTTTTCTACCACAGGCATTAAAGGGATCCAAATATCCATGTGTAGATTCTACAAAAAGAGTGTTTCAAAACTGCTCTATCAAAGGGAAGGTTCAACTCTGTGGGTTGAATGCACACATCACAAAGTAGTTTCTGAGAATGCAACTGTCTAGTTTTTATGTGAATATATTCCCGTTTCCAATGAAGGCTTCAAAGCACTCCAAATATACACTTGCAGATACTACAAAAAGAAGTTTCAAAACTGCTCTAACAAATGGAAGGTTCAACTCTGTGAGTTGAATGCACCCATCACAAGGAAGTTTCTGAGAATCCTTCTGTCAGTTTTCATGTGAATATATTCCCGTTTCCAACGAAGGTTTCAAAGCACTCCAAATATACAGTTGCAGATACTACAACAAGAGTATTTCAAAACTGCTCATCAAAAGGAAGTTTCAACTCTGTGAGTTGAATGCACACATCACAAGGATGTTTCTGAGAATGCTTCTGTCCAGTTTTTTTGTGAAGATATTCCCGTTTCCAACGAAGGACAAAAAGCGGTCAAAATATCCACTTGCAGATTCTACAAAAACAGTGTTTCAAAACTGCTCTAGCAAAAGAAATGTTTAACTCTCTGAGTTGAATGCAATCATCACAAAGTAGTTTCTGAGAATGCTTCTGTCTAGTTTTTATGTGAAGATATTTCCTTTTCCACCATAGCCCTCAAAGTGCTCCAAATGTCCACTTGCAGATTCTACGTTAAGAGTGTTTCAAAACTGCTCTGTCAAAAGTTAGGTTAACCCTGTGAGTTGAATGCACACATCACAAAGTACTTTTTGAGAATGCTTCTGTCTAGTTTTTAGGTGAAGATATTCCCGTTTCCAATGAAGGCTTCAAAGCATTCCAATTATCCACTTGCTGATCCTACAAAAATAGTGTTTCAAAACTGCTCTATCAAAACAAAGGTTAAATTCGTTGAGTTGTAACCACACGTCACAAACTGGTTTCTGAGAATGCTTCTGTCAAGTTTTTATTTGAAGATATTACTTTTTCTACAATCGGCCACAAAGCGCTCCAAATATCCAATTGCAGATTCTCCTAAAAGAGTGTTTCAAAACTGCTCTATGAAAAGAAAGGACCAACTCTGTGAGTTGAATGCAAACATCACAAAGGAGTTTCTGAGAATGCTTCTGTCTGGTATTTATGTGACGATATTCCCGTTTCCAATGAATTCCTCAAAGCAGTCAAAATATCCACTTGCAGATTCTACAAAAAGAGTGTTTCAAAACTGCTCTATCCAAAGAAAGTTTAAAATCTGTGCATTGAATGCACACATCAGAAACTAGATTCGGAGAATGCTTCTTTCTAGTTTTTATAAAAAGCAATTGCCTTTTCTACCAGAGGACTTAAAGGGATCCAAATATCCTCATGCATATTCTACAAAAAGAGTGTTGCAAATCTGCTCTATCAAAAGAAGATTTCAACTCTGAGAGTTGAATGCACTCATCACAAAGTAGTATCTCAGAATCTTTCTGTCTACATTTTATGTGATGATATTCCCGTTTCCAATGAAGGCTTATCTCAACTAGAAATATCCACTTGCAGATTCTACAAAAAGAGTGTTTCCAAACTGCTCTATCAAAAGGAAGGTTCAACTCTGTGAGTTGAATGCACACGTCACAAGGAAGTTTCTGAGAATTCTTCTGTCTAGTTTTTATGTGAATATATTCCCGTTTCCAACGAAGGCTTCAAACCACTCCAAATATACACTTGCAAATACTACAAAAAGAATGTTTCAAAACTGCTCTACCAAAAGAAAGGTTCAACTCTGTGAGTTGAATACACACATCACAAGGAAGTTTCTGGGAATGCTTCTGTCTAGTTTTTATGTGAATATATTCCCGTTTCCTACGAAGGCTTCAAAGAACTCCAAATATCCAAATGCAGACACTTCAAAAAGAGTGTTTCCAATCTGCTTTGTCAAAAGGAAGGTTCAAATCTGTGAGTTGAAGTCACACATCACAAGGAAGGTTCTGAGAATGCTTCTGTCCAGTTTTTATGTGAAGACATTTCCGTTTCCAACGAAGGACACCAAGCGGTCAAAATAGCCACTTGCAGATTCTACAAAAAGAGTGTTTCAAAACTACTCTACAAAAGGAAGGTTCAACTCTGTGAGTTGAATGCACACATCGCAAAGAAATTTCTGAGAATGCTTCTGTCTAGTTTTTATGTGGAGATATAGCCGTTTCCAAAGAAGACTTCAAAGTTCTACAATTATCTACATGCATATTCTACAAAAAGAGTGTTTCAAAACTGCTCTATCCAAAGGAAGGTTGAACTCAGTGAGTTGAATGTACACATCAAAAGGAAGTTTCTGGGAATGCTTCAGTCTAGTTTTTATGTGAATATATTCACTTTTCCAATGAAGGCTTCAAAGCACTCCAAATATCCAATTGCAGACACTACAAAAAGAGTGTTTCAAAACTGCTCTATCAAAAGGAAGGTTCACCTCTGCGAGTTGAATGCACACATCACAAGGAAGTTTCTGAGGATGCTTCTGTCCACTTTTTATGTGAAGATATTCCCGTTTCCAACGAAGGAAACAAAGAGGTCAAAATATCCATTTGCAGATTCTACAAAAAGAGTGTTTCAAAACTGCTCTAGCAAAAGAAATGTTTAACTCTCTTAGTTGAATGCAAACATCACAAAGAAGTTTCTGAGAGTCCTTCTGTTTAGTTTTTATGTGAAGATATTTCCTTTTCCACCACAGCCCTCTAGGTGCTCCAAATGTCTACTTGCAGATTCTACAATAAGAGTGTTTCAAAACTGCTCTGTCAAAAGATAGTTAAACTCTGTAAGTTGAATGCACACATCACCAAGTAGTTTTTGAGAATTCTTCTGTCTACCTTTTAGGTGAAGATATTCCCTGTTTCCAAAGAAGGCTTCAAAGCACTCCATTATCCACTTGCAGAAATTACAAACAGAATGTTTCAAAACTGCTCTATCAAAGGAAAGTTAAATTATGTGTGTTGTAAGCACACGTCACATACTGGTTTCTGATAATGCTTCTGTGTAGTTTTTATTTAAAGATATTTGTTTTTCTACCAAAGGCCTCAAATAGCTCCAAATATCCAATTTCAGATACTACCAAAAGAGTGTTACAAAACTGCTCCATGAAAACAAATGTCCAACTCTCTGAGTTCAATGCAAACATCACAAAGAAGTTTCTGAGAATTCTTTTGTCTGGTATTTATGTGACAATATTCCCGTTTCCAATGAATTCGTCAAAGCAGTCAAAATATCCACTTGCAGAATCTACAAAAATAGTGTTTCAAAACTGCTCTATCAAAAGAAAGGTTAAAATCCGTGCGTTGAATGCACACATCAGAAACTAGATTCTGAGAATGCCTCTTTCTAATTTTTACATGAAGAAATTTCCTTTTCTACCTGAGGCCTTAAATGTATCCAAATATCCACGTGTAGATTCTACAAAAAGAGGGTTTCAAAACTGCTTTATCAAAACGAGTGCAAACTCTGTGAGTTGAATGCACTCGTCACAAAGTAGTTTCTCAGAATCCTTCTGTCTACTTTTTATGTGAAGATATTCCCGTTTCCAACGAAGGCTTCAAAGCATTCCAAATATCCACCTGCATGTTCTACAAAAACAGTGTTTCAAATCTGCTCTATCAAAAGGAGGTTCAAATCTGTGAGTTGAATGCACACATCCCAAAGAAGTTTCTGAGAATGCTTCTGTCAATTTTTTCTGTGGAGATATTCCCATTTCAACGAAGGCTTCTCACCACTAGAAATATCCACTTGCACATTCTACAAAAAGAGTGTTTCCAAACTGCTCTACCAAAGGAAGGCTCAAATCTGTGAGTTGAATGCACACATCACAAAGAAATTTCTGAGAATGCTTCTGTCTAGTTTTTATGTGGAGATATTCCCATTTCCAACGAAGGCCTCTAACCACTAGTAATACCCACTTGCAGATTCTACAAAAAGAGGTTTAAAAACTGCTCTATCAAAAGAAGATTTCAACTCTCTGAGTTGAATGCACACATCACAAGGAAGTTTCTGAGAATGCTTCAGTCCAGTTTTTATGTGGAGATATTCCCGTTTCCAACGAAGGCCTCTAAACACTTGCAGATTCCACAAAAAGAGTGTTTCAAAAATGCTCTATCAAAAGGAAGGTTCAACTCTGTGAGTTGAATGCACACATCAAAAGGAAATTTCTGAGAATGCTTCTGTCTAATTTTTATGTGAATATATTCCGGTTTCCAGTGAAGGCTTCAAAGCACTCCAAATATACACTTGCAGTTACTACAAAAAGAGTGCTTCAAAACTGCTCTATCAAAAGGAAGGTTCAACTCTGTGAGTTGAATGCACACATCACAAGGAAGTTTCTGAGAATCCTTCCGTCCAGTTTTTATGTGAAGGTATTCCCGTTTCCAACGAAGGACACAAAGGGTCAAAATATCCACTTGCAGATTCTACAAAAAGAGTGTTTCAAATCTGCTCTAGCAAAGGAAATGTTTAACTCTCTGAGTTGAATGCAAACATCACAAAGAAGTTTCTGAGAATGCTTCTGTCTAGTTTTTATGTGAAGATATTTCCTTTTCCACCATAGCCCTCAAAGTGCTCCAAATGTCCACTTGCAGATTCTACATTAAGAGTGTTTCAAAACTGCTCTGTCAAAAGATAGGTTAAACTCTGTGAACTGAATGCACACATCACAAAGTAGTTTTTGAGAAGGCTTCTGTCTAGTTTTTATGTGAAGATATTCCCATTTCCAACGAAGGCTTCAAAGCACTGCAATTATCCACTTGCAGATCCTACAAAAAGAGGGTTTCTAAACTGCTTTATCAAAAGAAAGGTTAAATTCTGTGAGTTGTAAGCACACATCACAACCTGGTTTCTGAGAATGCTTCTGTCTAGTTGTTATTTGAAGATATTACTTTTTTTACAATCGGCCACAAAGCGCTCCAAATATCCAATTGCAGATTCAACTAAAAGAGTGTTTCAAAACAGCTCTATGAAAAGAAAGGTCCAACTCTGTGAGTTGAATGCAAACATCACAAAGAAGTTTCTGAGAATGCTTCTGTCTGGTATTTATGTGACGATATTCCCATTTCCAAGAAATTCCTCAAAGCAGTCAAAATATCCACTTGCAGATTCTACAAAAATAGTGTTTCAAAACTGCCCTATGAAAAGAAAGGTTAAAATCTGTGAGTTGAATGCACACATCAGAAACTAGATTATGAGAATGCTTCTTTCAAGTTTTTATATAAAGAAATTTCCTTTTCTACCAGAGGCGTTAAAAGGATCCCAATATCCACGTGTAGATTATACAAAAGAGTGTTTCAAAACTGCTCTATCAAAAGGAGAACTCATCACAAAGTAGTTTCTCAGAATCCTTCTGTCTACTTTTTATGTGAAAATATTTCCGTTTCCAACGAAGGCTTCAAAGCACTCCAAATATCCACTTGCATATTCTACAAAAAGAGTGTTTCAAATCTGCTCCATCAAAAGGAAGGTTCAACTCTGTGAGTTGAATGCACACATTACAAGGAAGTTTCTGAGAATGCTTCCGTCTATTTTTTACGTGGAGATATTCCCTTTTCCAACGAAGGCTTCTCTCCACTGGAAATATCCACTTGCAGATTATACAAAAAGTGTGTTTCCAAACTGCTCTATCAAAAGGAAGGTTCAAATCTGTGAGTTGAATGCGCACATCAGAAAGAGGTTTCTGAGAATGCTTCTGTCTAGTTTTTATGTGAGTATATTCCAGTTTCCAACGAAGGCTTCAAAGCACTCCAAATATACACTTGCAGATTCTACAAAAAGAGTGTTTCAAAACTGCTCTATCAAAAGTAAGGTTCAACTCTGTGAGTTGAATGCACACATTACAAGGGAGTTTCTGAGAATGCTTCCATCTAGTTTTTAAGTGAATATATTCCCTTTTCCAACGAAGGCTTCAAAGCACTCCATATATCCACTTGCATATACACAAAAAGAGTGTTTCAAAACTGCTCTAACAAAAGGAAGGTTCCACTCTGTGAGTGGAAAGGACACATCACAAAGAAATTTCTGAGAATGCTTCTGTCTAGTTTTTATGTGGAGATATTCCCGTTTCCAATGAAGGCCTCTAACCACTAGTAATCTCCACTTGCAGATTCTACAAAAAGAGTGTTTCAAAACTGCTCTATCAAAAGGAGATTTCAACTCTCTGAATTGAATGCACACATCACAAGGAAGTTTCTGAGAATGCTTCTGTCTAGTTTTTAATGTGAATATATTCCCGTATCCAATGGAGGCTTCAAACCACTCTAAATATCCACCTGCAGATACTACAAAAAGAGTGTTTCAAAACTGCTCTATCAAAAGGAAGTTTCAACTTCGTGAGTTGAGTGCACCTATCACAAGGAAGTTTCTGAGAATGCTTCTGTCCTGTTTTTCTGTGAAGATATTCCCGTTTCCAACGAAGGACACAAAGCGCTCAAAAAATCCAATTGCAGGTCCTACCAAAAGAGTCTTTCAATACCGCTCTATCAAAAGGAAAGTTCAACCTGTGAGATGAGTGGGCACATCATAAAAAAGTTTCTGAGAATGCATTTGTCTTGTTTTTATGTGAAGAGGTAGCCATTACCAATGAAGACTTCAAAGTACTCCAATTATCCACTTGCAGATTCAACAAAAAGAATGTTTCAAAACTGCCCTATCAAAAGGAAGGTTAAACTCTGTAAGTTGAATGCACACAACACAAAAAAGTTTCCGAGAATGCTTCTGTCTAACTTTTAGGTGAATATATTCCCATTTCCAATGAAGGATTCAAAGCACTCCAAATATACACTTGCAGATACTAGAAAAAGGGTGTTTCAAAACTGCTCTTTCAAAAGGAAGGTTCAACTCTGTGGGTTTAATGTGTGCATGACAAGGAAGCTTCTGAGAATGCTTCTGTCTAGTTTTTATGTGAATATATTCCCGTTTCCAACAAAGGCTTCAAAGAACTCAAAATACACAGTTGCAGGTACTGCAAAAAGAGTGTTTCAAAACTGCTCTATCAACAGGAAGGTTCAACTCTGTGAGTTGAATGCACACATAACAAGGAAGTTTCTGAGAATGCTTCTGTCCAGTTTTTATGTGAAGATATTCCCGTTTCCAATAAAGGACACAAAGCGGTCAAAATATCCACTTACAGATTCTACAAAAAGAATGTTTCAAAACTGCTCTAACAAAAAAAAGTTCAACTCTCTGAGTTGAATGCAAACATCCCAAAGATGTTTCTTAGAATGCTTCTGCCTAGTTTTTATGTTAAGATATTTCCTTTTCCACCATAGCCATCAGAGTGTTCCAATGTCCACTTTCAGATTCTACGATGAGAGTGCTTCAAAACAGCTCTGTCAAAAGGAAGGTTCAACTCTGTGAGTTGAATGCACACATCACAAAGGAGTTTTTGAGAATGCTTCAGTCTAATTTTAGGTGAAGATATTCTCGTGTCCAACAAAGACTTCAAAGCACTCCAATTATCAAATTGCAGATTCTATAAAAAGAGTGTTTAAAACTGCTCTATCAAAAGATAGGTTAAATTCTGTGAGTTGTAAGCACACATCAAAAAGTAGTTTCTGAGAATGCTTCTGTCTAGTTTTTATATGAAAATAATTCCTTTTCCACTGTAGGCCTCAAAACGCTCCAAATATCCAATTGCTGATACTGCCAAAAGAGTGTTTTAAAACTGCTCTACGAAAAGAAAGATGCAACACTGTGAATTGAATGCAAACATCACAAAGAAGTTTCTGAGAATGTTTCTGTCTGGTATTTAAGTGAAGATATTCCCGTTTCCAACGAATTACTCAAAGCAGTCAAAATAGCCACTTGCAGATTCTACAAAAAAGAGAGTTTCAAAACTGCTCTATCAAAAGAAATGTTAAAATCTGTGAGTTAAATGGACACATCAGAAGCTACTTTCTGACAATGCTTCTTTCTAGATTTTATATAAAGATACTGCCTTTTCTAAAAGAGGCCTTAAAGGGATGCAAATATTTTAAGATATTTCCTTTTCCACCATAGCCATCAAAGTGTTCCAAAGTCCACTTTCAGATTCTACAAAAAGAGTGTTTTAAAGCTGCTCTATCAAAAGGAGTGTTCAACACTGTGAGCTGAATGCACTCATCACAAAGTAGTTTCTGAGAATGCTTCTGTCTACTATTTATGTAAAGATATTCCCGTTTCCAATGAAGGCTTCAAAGCACTCCATATATACACTAGCATATTCTACAAGAAGAGTGTTTCAAAGCTGCTCTATCAAAAGGAAGGTTCAACTCTGTGAGTTGAATGCACACATCACAAAGAAGTTTCGGAGAATGCATCTGTCTTGTTTTCATGTGAATATGTAAGCATTTCCAATGAAGACTTCAAAGTGCTCCAATTATACACTTGCAGATTCTACAAAAAGAGTGTTTCAAAACTGCTCTATCAAAAGGAAGGTTCAACTGTGTGAGTTAAATGCACACATCACAAGGAAGTTTCTGAGAATGCTTCTGTCTAGTTTTTATGGGAATATATTCCTATTTCCGACGAAGGCTTCAAAGCACTCCGAATATACACTTGCAGATACTATAAAAAGAGTGTTTCAAAACAGCTCTATTAAAAGGAAGGTTCAACTCTGTGAGTTGAATGCACACATAACAAAGAAGTTTCTGAGAATGCTTCTGTCCAGTTTTTATGTGAAGATATTCCCGTTTCTAATGAAGGACACAAAGCACTCAAAATATCCACTTGCAGATTCTACAAAAAGAGTGTTTCAAAACTGCTCTAGCAAAAGAAAGGTTTAACTCTTTGAGTTGCATGCAAACATCACAAGAAGTTTCTGAGAATGCTTCTGTCTAGTTTTTATGTGAAGATATTTCCTTTTCCACCATAGCACTCAAAGTGCTCCAAATGTCCACTTGTAGATTCTACAATAAGTGTGTTTCAAAACTGCTCTGTCAAAAGATGGGTTAAACTCTGTGAGCTGAAAACACACATCACAATGTAGTTTCGGAGAATCTTTCTGTCTACTTTTTATGTGAAGATATTCCCATTTCCAACGAGAGCTTCAAAGCACTCCATAAATCCATTTTCATATACTAAAAAAAAGAGTGTTTCAAAACTGCTCTAACAAAAGGAAGGTTAAACTCTGTGAGTGGAATGCACACATCACAAAGAAATTTCTGAGAATGCTTCCATCTAGTTTTTATGTGGAGATATTCCCGTTTCCAACGAAGGCCTCTAACCAATAGAAATATCCACTTGCAGATTCTACAAAAAGAGTGTTTCAAAACTGCTCTATCAAAAGCAAGTTTCAACTCTGTGGGTTGAATGCACACATCATAAGGAAGTTTCTGACAATGCTTCTGCCTAGTTTTTATATGAAGATATTTCCTTTTCCACCATAGTCCTCAAAGTGCTCTAAATGTCCACTTGAAGATTCTACAATAAGAGTGTTTCAAAACTGTTCTATCAAAAGATATGTTAAACTCTGTGAGTTGAATGCACACATCACAAAGTAGTTTTTGAGAATGCTTCTGTGTAGTTTTTAGGTGAAGATATTCCTCTTTCCAATGAAGACTTCAAAGCAGTCCAATCATCCACTTGCAGATCCTTCAAAAAGACTGTTTCAAAACTCCTCTATCAAAAGGAAGGTTCAAAATCTGTGAGTTCAATGCACACATCATAAGGAAGTTTATGAGAATGCTTCTGTCTAGTTTTTATGTGACTACATTCCCGTTTCCAACGAAGGCTTCAAGGTACTCCAAATATTCAATTGCAGATACTACAAAACGAGTGTTTAAAAACTTCTCTATCAAAAGAAAGGTCCAACTCTGTGAGTTGAATGTGTGCATGACAAGTAAGTTTCTGTGAATGCTTCTGTCTAGTTTTTCTGTGAATATATTCCCATTTACAACAGAGACTTCAAAGAACTCAAAATATACACTGGCAGATACTGCAAAAAGAGTGTTTCGAAACTGCTCTATCAAAAGGAAGGTTCAACTCTGAGAGTTGAATGCACACATCACAAGGAACTTTCTGAGAATGCTTCTGTCCAGTTTTTATGTGAAGATATTCTCGTTTACAACGAACTACAGAAAGCGGTCAAAATATCCACTTGCAGATTCTACAAAAAGAGTGTTTCAAAACTGCTATATCAAAAGACATGTTAAAATCTGTGAATTGAAGGCACACATCAGAAGCTAGTTTCTGAGAATGCTTCTTTCTAGTTTTTATATAAAGAAATTGCCTTTTCTACCAGAGGCCTTAAACGGATGCAAATATCCATGTGTAGATTCTACAAAAAGAGTGTTTCAAAACTGTTCTATCAAAAGGAAGTTTCAACACTGTGAGTTGAATGCATACATCACAAAGAAGTTTCTCAGAATGCTTTTGTCTAGTTTTTAATCTGAGTATATTCCCATTTCCAACGAAGGCTTCAAACCACTCCAAATATCCACTTGCAGATACTACAGAAAGAGTGTTTCAAAACCGCTCTATCAAAAGGAAGGTTCAACTCTCTGAGTTGATTGCCCACATCACAAGGAAGATTTTGACAATGCCTCTGTCCTGTTTTTATCTGAAGATATTCCCGTTTCCAAGAAGGACAAAAAGCGCTCAAAAAATCCACTTGCAGATTCTACAAAAAGAGTCTTTCAATACAGCTCTATCAAAAGGAAGGCTCATCTCTGTGAGTTCAATGGGCACATCACAGAAAACTTTCTGAGAATGCATCTGCCTTGTTTTGATATGAAAATGTAGCCGTTTCCAATGAAGACTTCAAAGTACTCCAATTATCCCCTTGAAGAATCAACAAAAAGAGTGTTTCAAAAATGCTCTATCAAAAGGAAGGTTAAACACTGTTAGTTGAATGCACATATCACAAAAAATTTTCTGAGAATGCTTCTGTCTAACTTTTATGTGAATATATTCCAATTTCCAATGAAGGATTCAAAGCATTCCAAATATACACTTGCAGATACTACAAAAAGAGTGTTTCAAAACTGCTCTTCAAAAGAAAGGTTCAACTCTGTGAGTTGAATGCGTGCATGACAAGGAACTTTCTGAGAATGCTTCTGCCTAGTTTTTATGTGAATATATTCCCGTTTCCAACAAACGCTTCAAAGAACTCAAAATATACATTTGCAGATACTGCAAAAAGAGTGCTTCAAAACTGCTCTATCAAAAGGAAGGTTCAACTCTGGGAATTGAATGCACACATCACAAGGAAGATTCTGAGAATGATTCTGTCCAGTTTTAATGTGAAGATATTCCCGTTTCCAACGAAGGACAAAAAGCGGTCAAAATATCCACTTGCAGATTCTACAAAAAGAGTGTTTCAAAACTGCTCTATCAAAAAAAATGTTAAAATCTGTGAGTTGAGTGCACACATCAGAAGCTAGTTTCTGAGAATGCTTCTTTCTAGTTTTAATATAAATTGCCTTTTCTACCAGAGGCCTTAAAGGGATGCAAATATCCACATGTAGATACTACAAAGAGAGTGTTTCAAAACTGCTCTATCAAAAGGAGTGTTCAACTCTGTGAGTTGAATGCACACATCACAAAGTAGTTTCTGAGAATACTTCTGTCCATTTTTTATGTGAAGATGTTCCCGTTTCCAACGAATTCCTCGAATCAGTCAAAATATCCACTTGCATATTCTACAAAAAGAGTGTTTCAAAGCTGCTCTATCAAAAGGAAGGTTCAACTCTGTGAGTTGAATGCACACATCACAAAAAAAGTTTCTGACAAAGCTTCTGTCTACTTTTTATGTGAAGGTATTCCCGTTTCCAAAGAAGGCTTCAAAGGACTCCAAATATCCACTTGCAGATACTACAAAAAGAGTGTTTCAAAACTGCTCTATCTAAAGGAAGGTTCAACTCTGTGAGTTGAATGCACACATCACAAGGAAGTTTCTGAGAATGCTTCTGTCTAGTTTTTATGTGACTATATTCCCGTTTCCAACGAAGGCTTCAAAGCACTCCAAATATCCACTTGCAGATATTATAAAAAGAGTGTTTGAAAACTGCTCTATCAAAAGGAAGGTTTAACCCTGTGAGTTGAATGCATACATCACAAAGAAGTTTCTGAGAATGCTTCTGTCCAGTTTTTATATGAAGATATTCCCGTTTCCAATGAAGGACACAAAGGGTCAAAATATCCACTTGCAGATTCTACAAAAAGAGTGTTTCAAAACTGCTGTATCTAAAGAGAGGTTCAATTCTGTGAGTTGAGTACACACATCACAAGCAGTTTCTGAGAATGCTTCTGTCTAGTTTTTATGTGAAGATATTTCCATATCCACTACAGCCCTCAAAGTGCTCCAAATGTCCACTTGCAGATTCTACAATAAGTGTGTTTCAAAACTCCTCTGTAAAAAGATAGGTTAATCTCTGTGAGTTGAATGCACGCATCACAAAGTAGTTTTGGAGAATGTTTCTGTCTAGTATTTAGGTGAAGATATTCCCGTTTCCAACGAAGGCTTCAAAGAACTCCAATTATCCACCTGCACATCCTTCAAAAAGAGTGTTTCAAAACTTCTCTATCAAAAGGAAGGTTCAAACCTGTGAGTTCAATGCACACATCACAAGGAAGTTTATGAGAATTCTTCTGTCTAGTTTTTATCTGAATATATTCCTGTTCCAACGAATGCTTCAAAGCACTCCAAATATACACGTGCAGATACTACCAGAAGAGTGTTTCAAAACTGCTCTCTCAAAAGGAGAGTTCAACGCTGTGAGTTGAATGCACACATCACAAGGAATTTTTTGAGAATGCTTCTGTCTAGTTTTTATGTGACTATATTCCCGTTTCCAATGAAGGCTTCAAATCACTCCAAGTATCCACTTGCAGATACAACAAAAAGAGTGTTTCAAAACTGCTCTCTCAAAAGAAAGGCTTAACTCTGTGAGGTGAATGCACACGTTACAAGGAAGTTTCTGAGAATGCTTCTGTCAGGTTTTTATGTGAAGATATTCCCTTCTCCAACAAAGGACACAAAGAGGTCAAAATATCAACTTGCAGATTCTACAAAAAGAGTGTTTCAAAACTGCTCTAGCAAAATAAATATTTAACTCTCTGAGTTGAATGCAAACATCACAAAGAAGTGTCTGAGAATGCTTCTGTCTAGTTTTAATGTGAAGATATTTCCTTTTCCACCACAGCCATCAAAGTGCTCCAAATGTCCACTTGCAGATTCTGCAATAAGAGTGTTTCTAAACTACTCTGCCAAAAGATAGGTTAAACTCTGTGAACTGAATGCACACATCACAAACTAGTTTTTGGGAATGCTTCTGTCTGGTTTTTAGGTGAAGATGTTCCCTTTTCCAAAGAAGGCTTCAAAGCATACGAATTATCCACTTGCAGATCCTACAAAAAGAGGGTTTCAAAACTGCTCTATCAAAAGAAAGGTTAAATTATGTGAGTTCTAAGCACAGATCACAGAGTAGTTTCTGAGGATGCTTCAGACTAATTTTTATATGAAGTTATTTCCTTTTCTACTAAAGGCCTCAAAGCGCTCCAAGTATCCACTTACAGATTCTACCAAAAGAGTGTTTCAAAACCTCTCCATCAAAAGGAAGGTTCCACTCCGTGAGTTGAATGCACACATCACAAAGAAGTTTCTGAGAATGCATCTGTCTAGTTTTCATGTGAAGATATAGACTTTTCCAATGAAGACTTCAAAGTACTGCAATTATCCACTTACAGATTCTATAAAAAGAGTGTTTCAAAATTGCTCTATCTAAAGAAGTGTTCACCTCTGTGAGTTGAAGGCACACATCAAAAAGTAGTTTCTGAGAATCCTTCTGTCTACTTTTTATGTGAAGATATTCCCGTGTCCAAAGAAGGCTTCAATGCACTCCGAATATTCACTTGCATATACTACAAAAAGAGTGTTTCAAAACTGCTCTATCAAAAGGAAGGTTCAACTCTGTGAGTTGAATGGACAGATCACAATGAAGTTTCTGAGAATTATTCTGTCTAGTTTTCATGTGAATATATTCCCGTTTTCAACGAAGGCTTCAAAGCACTCCAAATATACACTTGCAGATACTCTAAAAGAGTGTTTCAAAACTACTCTATCAAAAGGAAGTTTCAACTCTGTGAGTTGAATGCACACATCCCAAGGAAGTTTCTGAGAATGCTTCTGTCCAGTTTTTTTGTGAAGATATTCCCGTTTCCAACGAAGGACAAAAAGCGGTCAAAATATCCACTTGCAGATTCTACAAAAACAGTGTTTCAAAACTGCTCTAGCAAAAGAAATGTTTAACTCTCTGAGTTGAATGCAACTGTTCAATCAAAAGACAGGTTCAATCTTAAACTGTTCAATCAAAAGACAGGTTAAAATCTGTGAGTTAAATGCACACATCAGAAACTAGATTCTGAGAATGCTTCTTTCTAGTTTTTATGTAAAGAAATTGCCTTTTCTACAAGGGGCCTTAAAGGGCTCAAAATATCCACGTGTAGATTCTACAGAAAGAGTGTTCCAAAACTGCTCTATCAAAAGAAGTGTTCAACTCTGCGAGTTGAAGGCACACATCACAAGGAAGTTTCTGAGAATGCTTCTGTCTAGTTTTTAAGTGAATACATTTTCGTTTCCAACGAAGGCTTCAAAACACAGCAAATATGCAGTTGTAGATACCACCAAAAGCTGTTTTAAAACTGCTCAATCAAAAGGAAGGTTCAACTCTGACAGTTGAATGCACACATCACAACGAAGTTTCTGAGAATGCTTCTGTCCAGTTTTTATGTAAAAATATTCCCGTTTACAATGAAGGACACAAAGTGGTCAAAATATCCACTTGCAGATTCTACAAAAAGAGTGTTTCATAACTGCTCCAGCAATAGAAATGTTTAACTCTCTGAGTTGAACGCAAACATCACAAGAAGTTTCTGAGAATGCTTCCGTCTAGTTTTTATGTGAAGATATTTCCTTTTCCACCATAGCCCTCAAAGTGCTCCAAATGTCCACTTGCAGATTGTACAATAAGAGAGTTTCAAAACTGCTCTGTCAAAAGATAGCTTAAACTCTGTGAGTTGAATGCACACCTCACAAAGCAGTTTTTGAGAATGCTTCTGTCCGGTTTTTAGGTGAAGATATTCCCGTTTCCAACGAAGGCTTCAAAAGACTCCAATTATCCACCTGCAGATCCTGTGAAAAGAGTGTTTCAAAACTGCTCTATCAAAAGAAAGGTTAAATTCTGTGAGTTTTAGGCACACATCACAAAGTATTTTCTGAGAATTGTTCTATCTAGATTTTATAAAAAGATATACCCTTTTATACCATAGGCCTCAAAGCGCTCATAATATCTAATTGCAGATTCTACCAAAAGACTACTTCAAACTGCTCTATTGAAGGACATGTTTTGAATGGTAATGCCTAGGTTTTCTTCTAGGGTTTTTATGGTTTTAGGTCTAACGTTTAAGTCTTTAATCCATCTTGAATTGATTTTTGTGTAAGGTGTAAAGAAGGGATCCAGTTTCAGCTTTCTATATATGGCTAGCCAGTTTTCCAGCACCATTTATTAAATAGGGAATCCTTTCCCCATTGCTTGTTTTTCTCAGGTTTTGTCAAAGATCAGGTAGTTGTAGATATGCAGCGTTATTTCTGAGGGCTCTGTTCTGTTCCATTGATCTATATCTCTGTTTTGGTTCCAGTACCATGCTGTTTTGGTTACTGTAGCCTTGTAGTATAATTTGAAGTCAGGTAGTGTGATGCCTCCAGCTTTGTTCTTTTGGCTTAAGGTTGACTTGGTGATGCGGGCTCTTTTTTGCTTCCATATGAAATTTAAAGTAGTATTTTCCAATTCTGTGAAGAAAGGCATTGGTAGCGTGATGGGGATGGCATTGAATCTGTAAATTACCTTGGGCAATATGGCCATTTTCACGATACTGATTCTACCTACCCATGAGCAATGGAATGATCTTCCATTTGTTTGTATCCTCTTTTATTTCCTTGAGCAGTGGTTTGTAGTTCTCCTTTAAGGGGCCTTCACATCCCTTGTAAGTTGGATTCCTAAGTATTTTATTCTCTTTGAAGCAATTGTGAATGGGAGTTCACTTATGATTTGGCTCTCTGTTTGTCTGTTGTTGGTGTATAAGAATGCTTGTGATTTTTGTACATTGATTTTGTATCCTGAGACTTTGCTGAAGTTGCTTATCAGCTGAAGGAGATTTTGGGCTGAGGCAAGGGGTTTTCTAGATATACAATCATGTCTTCTGCAAACAGGGACAATTTGACTTCCTCTTTTCCTAATTGAATACCCTTTATTTTCTTCTCCTGCCTAATTGCCCTGGACAGAACTTCCAACATTATGTTGAATAGGAGTGGTGAGAGAGGACATCCCTGTCTTTTGCCAGTTTTCAAAGGGAATGCTTCCAGTTTTTGCCCATTCAGTATGATGTTGGCTGTGGGGATAGGCATGGGCAAGGACTTCATGTCTAAAACACCAAAAGCAATAGCAACAAAAGACAAAATTGACAAATGGGATATAATTGAACTAAAGAGCTTCTGCACAGCAAAAGAAACTACCATCAGAGTGAACAGGCAACCACAAAATGGGAGAAAATTTTCGCAACCTACTCATCTGACAGAGTGCTAATATCCAGAATCTACAATGAACTCAAACAAATTTACAAGAAAAAAACAAACAACCCCATCAAAAAGTGGGTGAAGGACATGAACAGACACTTCTCAAAAGAAGACATTTATGCAGCCATAAAACACATGAAAAAGTGCTCATCATCACTGGCCATAAGAGAAATGCAAATCAAAACCAGAATGAGATACCATCTCACACCAGTTAGAATGGCAATCATTAAAAAGTCAGGAAACAACAGGTGCTGGAAAGGATGTGGAGAAATAGGAACACTTTTACACTGTTGGTGGAACTGTAAACTAGTTCAACCATTGTGGAAGTCAGTGTGGCAATTCCTCAGGGATCTAGAACTAGAAATACCATTTGACCCAGCCATCCCATTACTTATTATATACCTAAAGGACTATAAATCATGCTGCTATAAAGACATATGCACACGTATGATTATTGCGGTATAATTCACAATAGCAAAGACTTGGAACCAACCCAAATGTCCAACAATGATAGACTGGATTAAGAAAATGTGGCACATATACACCATGGAATACAATGCAGCCATAAAAAAATGATGAGTTCATGTCCTTTGTAGGGAGATGGATGAAATTGGAAATCATCATTCTTAGTAAACTATCACAAGAACAAAAAACCAAACACCGCATATTCTCACTCATAGGTGGGAACTGAACAATGAGATCACATGGACACAGGACGGGGACTATCACACTCTGGGGACTGTTGTGTGGTGGGGGGAGGTGGGAGGGATAGCACTGGGAGATATACCTAATGCTAGATGACGACTTAGTGGGTGCAGCGCACCAGCATGGCACATGTATACATATGTAACTAACCTGCACAATGTGCACATGTACCCTAAAACTTAAAGTATAATAATAAAAAAAAGGACATGGTCAACTCTGTTAGTTGAATGCAAACATCCAAAAGATGTTTCTGAGAATGCTTCTGTATGGTATTTATGTGAAGATATTCCCGTTTTCAACGAATACCTCAAAACAGTCGAAATATCCACTTGCAGATCCCACAAAAAGTGTTTCAAAACTGCTCTATCAAAAGAAAGCTTGAAATCTGTGAGTTGAATGCACACATCAGAAACTAGATTCTGAGAATCCTTCTTTCTAGTTTTTATATAAAGAAATTGCCTTTTCTTCCAGAGGCCTTACAGGGATGCAAATATCCACTTTTAGATGCAACAAAAAGAGTGTTTCAAAACTGCTTTATCAAAAGGAGTGTTCAATTCTGAGAGTTAAATGCACACATCACAAAGTTGTTTCTGAGAATAACTCCGTCTACTTTTCATGTGAAGATATTCCCGTTTTCAACGAAGTCTTCAAAGCACTCCAAATATCCACTTGCATATTCTACAAAAAGAGTGTTTAAAAACTGCTCTATCAAAAGGAATGTTCAACTCTGTGAGTTGAATGCACACATCATAAAGAAGTTTCTGAGAATGCTTCTGTCTAGTTTTTATGTGGAGATATTCCCGTTTCCAGTGAAGGTTTATAAACACTAGAATTATCCACTTGCAGATTCTACAAAAAGAGTGTTTCAAAACTGCTTTATCAAAAGGAAGGTTCAACTCTGTGAGTTGAATGCACACATCACAAAGAAGTTTCTGAAAATGCATCTGTCTAGTTTTCATGTAAAGATATAGACGTTTGCAATGAAGACTTCAAATTACTGCAATTATCCACTTGCAGATTCTACAAAAAGTTAGTCTCAAAACTGCTCTATCAAAAGGAACGTTCAACTCTGTGAGTTTAATGCACACATCACAGGGAAGTTTCTGAGAATGCTTCTGTCTAGTTTTTATGTGAATATATTCCCGTTTCCAACGGAAGCTTCAAAGCACACCAAATATGCACTTGCAGCTACCACAAAAAGAGTGTTTCAAAACTGCTCTATCAAAAGGAAGGTCCAACTCTGTGAGTTGAATGCACATATCACGCGGAAGTTTCTGAGAATGCTTCTGTCCAGTTTTTTGTGACGATATTCCCGTTTCCAAAGAAGGACACCAAGCGGTCAAAATATCCACATGGAGATTGTACCAAAGGAGTCTTTCAGTACTGCTCTATCAATAGGACGGTTCAGCTCTGTGAGTTGAATGGGCACATCACAAAAAAGTTTCTGAGAATGCATCTGTCTTGTTTTTAGGTGAAAATATAGCCGTTTCCAATGAAGACTTCAAAGTAGTCCAACAATCCACTTGCAGATTCTACAAAAAACGTTTTTTAAAACTGCTATATCAAAAGGAAGGTTCAACTCTGTGAGTTGAATGCTCACATCACAAGGAAGTTTCTGAGAATGCTTCCGTCTAGTTTCTTTGTGAATATATTTCCGTTTCCAAAGAAGGCTTCAAAGCACTCCAAATATACACAAGCAGATACTACCAAAAGAGTGTTTCAAAACTGCTAGATCCAAAGGAAGATTCAACTCTGTCAGTTGAATGCACGTATCACAAGGAAGTTTTTGAGAATGCCTCTGTGTGGTATTTATGTGAAGATATTCCCGTTTCCAACGAATTCCTCAAAGCAGTCAAAATATCCACTTGCAGATACCACAAAAAGTGTCTCAAAACTGTTCCATCAAAAGAAAGGTTGAAATCTGTGAGTTGAATGCACACATCAGAAACTAGATTCTGAGAATGCTTCCCTCTGGTTTTTATATAAAGAAATTGCTTTTTCTACCAGAGACCTTACAGAGATCCCAGTATCCATGTGTAGGTTCAACAAGAAGAGTGTTTCAAAACTTCTCTATCAAAAGCAGTGTTCAACTCTGTGAGTTGAATGAACACATCAAAAAGTAGTTTCTCAGAATCCTTCTGTCTACTTTTTATGGGAAGATATTCCCCTTTCCAATGAAAGCTTCAAAGCACTCCAAATATCCACTTGCATATACTACAAAAAGAGTGTTTCAAAACTGCTCTATCAAAAGGAAGGTTCAAATCTGTGAGTTGAATGCACACATCACAAAGTAGTTTCTGAGAATCCTTCTGTCTACTTTTTATGTGAAGGTATTCCCGTTTCCAACGAAGGCTTCAAAGCACTCCAAATATCCACTTGCATATTCTACAAAAAGAGGCTTTCAAAACTGCTCTATCAAAAGAAAGCTTCAACTCTATGAGTTGAATGCGCTCATTAAGAAGTTTCTGAGAATGCTTCTGTCTAGTTTTTACGCGGAGATATTCCCGTTTCTAACGAATGCTTCTAACCACTAGAAATATCCACTTGCAGATTCTACAAAAAAAGTGTTTCAAAACTGCTCTATCAAAAGTAAGGTTCAACTCTGTGAGTTGAAAGCACACAACACAAAGAAGTTTCTGATACTGCATATGTCTTTTTTTATGTGAAGATATAGCCGTTTCCAACGAAGACATCAAAGTTCTCCAATTATCCACTTGCAGATTCTACAAAAAGAGTGTTTCAAAACTGCTCTATCAAAAACAAGGTTCAACTCTGTGAGTTCAAAGCGCACATCAGAAACTAGATTCTGAGAATGCTTCTTTCCTGTTTTTATATAAAGGAATTGCCTTTTCTACCAGAGGCCTTAAAGGGATCAAAATGTTCCCATGTATATACTACAAAAAGGGTGTTTCAAAACTTCTCTATCAAAAGGAGTGTTCAACTCTGTGAGTTGAATGCACACTTCACAAAGTAGTTTTTTTCTTTTTATAGAGTATTTTATTTTATTTTATTTTATTTTATTTTATTTTTCAGTAACTT
Organism: Homo sapiens; assembly: GCF_000001405.40. Classification (NCBI taxonomy): domain Eukaryota; kingdom Metazoa; phylum Chordata; class Mammalia; order Primates; family Hominidae; genus Homo; species Homo sapiens. Next base: position 29,871 of record NT_113948.1, read on the forward strand.
CTTTTATTTATTTATTTATTTATTATACTTTATATTTTAGGGTACATGTGCACATTGTGCAGCTTAGTTACATATGTATACATGTGCCATGCTGGTGTGCTGCACCCACTAACTTGTCATCTAGCATTAGGTATATCTCCCAATGCTATCCCTCCCCCCTCCCCCCACCCAACCACAGTCCCCAGAGTGTGATATTCCCCTTCATGTGTCCATGTGATCTCATTGTTCAATTCCCACCTATGAGTGAGAATATGTGGTGTTTGGTTTTTTGTTCTTGTGATAGTTTACTGAGAATGATGATTTCCAATTTCATCCATCTCCCTACAAAGGACATGAACTCATCATTTTTTATGGCAGCATAGTATTCCATGGTGTATAGGTGCCACATTTACTTAATCCAGTCTATCATTGTTGGTCATTTGGGTTGGTTCCAAGTCTTTGCTATTGTGAATAATGCCACAATAAACATATGTGTGCATGTGTCTTTATAGCAGCATGATTTATAGTCCATTGGGTATATACTCAGTAATGGGATGGCTGGGTCAAATGGTATTTCTAGTTCTAGATCCCTGAGGAATCGCCACACTGACTTCCACAATGGTTGAACTAGTTGACAGTCCCACCAACAGTGTAAAAGTGTTCCTATTTCTCCACATCCTCTCCAACACCTGTTGTTTCCTGACTTTTTAATGATTGCCATTCTAACTGGTGTGAGATGGTATCTCATTGTGGTTTTGATTTGCATTTCTCTGATGGCCAGTGATGATGAGCATTTTTTCATGTGTTTTATGGCTGCATAAATGTCTTCTTTTGAGAAGTGTCTGTTCATGTGCTTCACCCACTTTTTGATGGGGTTGTTTGTTTTTTTCTTGTAAATTTGTTTGAGTTCATTGTAGATTCTGGATATTAGCCCTTTGTCAGATGAGTAGGTTGTGAAAATTTTCTCCCATTTTGTGGTTGCCTGTTCACTCTGATGGTAGTTTCTTTTGCTGTGCAGAAGCTCTTTAGTTTAATTAGATCCCATTTGTCAATTTTGTCTTTTGTTGCCATTGCTTTTGGTGTTTTAGACATGAAGTCCTTGCCCATGCCTATGGCCTGAATAGTAATGCCTAGGTTTTCTTCTAGGGTTTTTATGGTTTTAGGTCTAATGTTTAAGTCTTTAATCCATCTGGAATTGATTTTTCTATAAGTTGTAAAGAAGGGATCCAGTTTCAGCTTTCTACATATGGCTAGCCAGTTTTCCCAGCACCATTTATTAAATAGGGAATCCTTTCCCCATTGCTTGTTTTTCTCAGGTTTGTCAAAGATCAGATAGTTGTAGATATGTGGTGTTATTTCTGAGGGCTCTGTTCTGTTCTATTGATCTATATCTCTGTTTTGGTACCAGTACCATGCTGTTTTGGTTACTGTAGCCTTGTAGTATAGTTTGAAGTCAGGTAGTGTGATGCCTCCAGCTTTGTTCTTTTGGTTTAGGATTGACTTGGTATTGCAGGCTCTTTTTTGGATCCATATGAAATTTAAAGTAGTTTTTTTCAATTCTGTGAAGAAAGTCATTGGTAGCTTGATGGGGATGGCATTGAATCTGTAAATTACCTTGGGCAGTATGGCCATTTTCACGATATTGATTCTTCCTACCCATGAGCATGGAATGTTCTTCCATTTGTTTGTATCCTCTTTTATTTTCTTGAGCAGTGGTTTGTAGTTCTCCTTGAAGAGGTCCTTCACATCCCTTGTAAGTTGGATTCCTAGGTATTTTATTCTCTTGGAAGCAATTGTGAATGGGAGTTCACTCATGATTTGGCTCTCTGTTTGTCTGTTGTTGGTGTATAAGAATGCTTGTGATTTTTGTACATTGATTTTGTATCCTGAGACTTTGCTGAAGTTGCTTATCAGCTGAAGGAGATTTTGTGACGAAACAATGGGGTTTTCTAGATATACAATCATGTCGTCTGCAAACAGGGACAATTCGACTTCCTCTTTTCCTAATTGAATACCCTTTATTTCCTTCTCCTGCCTAATTGCCCTGGCCAGAACTTCCAACACTATGTTGAATAGGAGTGGTGAGAGAGGGCATCCCTGTCTTTTGCCAGTTTTCAAAGGGAATGCTTCCAGTTTTTGCCCATTCAATATGATATTGGCTGTGGGATTGTCATAGATAGCTCTTATTATTTTGAGATACGTCCCATCAACACCTAATTTATTGAGAGTTTTTAGCATGAAGGGTTGTTGAATTTTGTCAAAGGCTTTTTCTGCATCTATTGAGATAATCATGTGGTTTTTTTCTTTGGCTCTCTTTATATGCTGGATTACATTTATTGATTTGCATATATTGAACCAGCCTTGCATCCCAGGATGAAGCCCACTTGATCATGGTATATAAGCTTTTTGATGTGCTGCTGGATACGTTTTGCCAGTATTTTATTGAGGATTTTTGCATCAATGTTCATCAAGGATATTGGTCTAAAATTCTCTTTGTTCATTGTGTCTCTGCCTGGGTTTGGTATCAGCATGATGCTGGCCTCATAAAATGAGTTAGGGAGGAATCCCTCTTTTTCTATTGATTGGAATAGTTTCAGAAAGAAGAATACCAGCTCCTCCTTGTACCTCTGGTAGAATTCGGCTGTGAATCCATCTGGTCCTGGACTCTTTTTGGTTGGTAAACTATTGAATATTGCCACAATTTCAGATCCTGTTATTGGTGTATTCAGAGATTCAACTTCTCCCTGTTTTAGTCTTGGGAGAGTGTATGTGTTGAGGAATGTATCCATTTCTTCTAGATTTTCTAGTTTATTTGTGTAGAGGTGTTTGTAGTATTCTCTGATGGTAGTTTGTATTTCTGTGGGATCAGTGGTTATATCCCCTTTATCATTTTTTATTGTGTCTATTTGATTCTTCTCTCTTTTTTTCTTTATTAGTCTTGCTATCAGTCTATCAATTTTGTTGATCCTTTCACAAAACCAGCTCCTGGATTCCTTAATTTTTTGAAGGGTTTTTTTGTGTCTCTATTTCCTTCAGTTCTGCTCTGATTATAGTTATTTCTTGCCTTCTGCTAGCTTTTGAATGTGTTTGCTCTTGCTTTTCTAGTTCTTTTAATTGTGATGTTCGGGTGTCAATTTTGGATCTTTTCTGCTTTCTCTTGTGGGCATTTCGTGCTATAAATGTCCCTCTACACACTGCTTTGAATGTGTCCCAGAGATTCTGGTATGTGGTGTCTTTGTTCTCGTTGGTTTCAAAGAGCATCTTTATTTTTGCCTTCATTTCGTTATGTACCCAGTAGTCATTCCGGAGTACGTTTTTCAGTTTCCATGTAGTTGAGCGGTTTTGAGTGAGATTCTTAATCCTGAGCTCTAGTTTGATTGCACTGTGGTCTGAGAGATAGTTTGTTATAATCTCTGACCTTTTCCATTTGCTGAGGAGAGCTTTACTTCCAAGTATGTGGTCAATTTTGGAATAGGTGTGGTGTGGTGCTGAAAAAAATGTATATTCTGTTGATTTGGGGTGGAGAGTTTTGTAGTTGTCTATTAGGTCTGCTTGGTGTAGAGCTGAGTTGAATTTCTGGGTATCCTTGTTGACTTTCTGTCTCGTTGATCTGTCTAATGTTGACAGTGGGGTGTTGAAGTCTCCCATTATTAATGTGTGGGCGTCTAAGTCTCTTTGTAGGTCACTAAGCACTTGCTTTATGAATCTGGGTGCTCCTGTATTGGGTGCATATATATTTAGGATAGTTCACTCTTCTTGTTGAATTGATCCCTTTACCATTATGTAATGGCCTTCTTTGTCTCTTTTGATCTTTGTTGGTTTAAAGTCTGTTTTATCAGAGACTAGGATTGCAACCCCTGCCTTTTTTGTTTTCCATTTGCTTGGTAGATATTCCTCCATCCTTTTATTTTGAGCCTATGTGTGTCTCTGCATGTGAGATGGGTTTCCTGAATACAGCCCACTGATGGGTCTTGACTCTTTATCCAATTTGCCAGTCTGTGTCTTTTAATTGGAGCATTTAGTCCATTTACATTTAAAGTTAATATTGTTATGTGTGAATTTGATCCTGTCATTATGACGTTAGATGGTTATTTTGCTCATTAGTTGATGCAGTTTCTTCCTAGTCTCGATGGTCTTTACATTTTGGGATGATTTTGCAGTGGCTGGTACCGGTTGTTCCTTTCCATGTTGAGTGCTTCCTTCAGGAGCTCTTTTAGGGCAGGCCTGGTGGTGACAAAATCTCTCAGCATTTGCTTGTCTGTAAAGTATTTTATTTCTCCTTCACTTATGAAGCTTAGTTTGGCTGGATATGAAATTCTGGGTTGAAAATTCTTTTCTTTAAGAATGTTGAATATTGGCCCCCACTGTCTTCTGGCTTGTAGGGTTTCTGCCGAGAGATCCACTGTTAGTCTGATGGGCTTCCCTTCGTGAGGGTAACCCGACCTTTCTCTCTGGCTGCCCTTAACATTTTTTCCTTCATTTCAACTTTGGTGAATCTGACAATTATGTGTCTCGGAGTTGCTCTTCTCGAGGAGTATCTTTGTGGCGTTCTCTGTATTTCCTGAATCTGAACGTTGGCCTGCCTTGCTAGACTGGGGAGGTTCTCCTGGATAATATCCTGCAGAGTGTTTTCCAACTTGGTTCCATTCTCCCCATCACTTTCAGGTACACCAATCAGACGTAGATTTGGTCTTTTCACATAGTACCATATTTCTTGGAGACTTTGCTCATTTCTTTTTATTCTTTTTTCTCTAGACTTCCCTTCTCGCTTCATTTCATTCACTTCATCTTCCATCGCTGATACCCTTTCTTCCAGTTGATCGCATCGGCTCCTGAGGCTTCTGCATTCTTCACGTGATTCTCGAGCCTTAGTTTTCAGCTCCATCAGCTCCTTTAAGCACTTCTCTGTATTGGTTATGGTTATTCTAGTTATACGTTCTTCTAAATTTTTTTCAAAGTTTTCAACTTCTTTGCCTTTGGTTTGAATGTCCTCACGTAGCTCAGAGTAATTTGATTGTCTGAAGCCTTCTTCTCTCAGCTTGTCAAAGTCATTCTCCATCCAGCTTTGTTCCATTGCTGGTGAGGAACTGCATTCCTTTGGAGGAGGAGAGGCGCTCTGCTTTTTAGAGTTTCCAGTTTTTCTGTTCTGTTTTTTCCCCATCTTTGTGGTTTTATCTACTTTTGGTCTTTGATGATGGTGATGTACAGATGGGTTTTTGGTGTGGATGTCCTTTCTGTTTGTTAGTTTTCCTTCCAACAGACAGGAGCCTCAGCTGCCGGTCTGTTGGAATACCCTGCCATGTGAGGTGTCAGTGTGCCCCTGCTGGGGGGTGCCTCCCAGTTAGCTGCTCGGGTGTCAGGTGTCAGGGACCCACTTGAGGAGGCAGTCTGCCCATTCTCAGATCTCCAGCGGCGTGCTGGGAGAACCACTGCTCTCTTCAAAGCTGTCAGACAGGGACATTTAAGTCTCCAGAGGTTACTGCTGTCTTTTTGTTTGTCTGTGCCCTGCCCCCAGAGGTGGAGCCTACAGAGGCAGGCAGGCCTCTTGAGCTGTGGTGGGCTCCACCCAGTTCGAGCTTCCCGGCTGCTTTGTTTACCTAAGCAAGCCAGGGAAATTATGGGCGCCCCTCCCCCAGCCTAGCTGCTGCCTTGCAGTTTGATCTCAGACTGCTGTGCTAGCAATTAGCAAGACTCCGTGGGCTTAGGACCCTCCCAGCCAGTTGCGGGATATAATCTCGTGGTGCGCCGATTTTTAAGCCGGTCGGAAAAGTGCAGTATTCTGGTGGGAGTCACCCGATTTTCCAGGTGCCTCTGTCACCCCTTTCTTTGACTTGGAAAGGGAACTCCCTGACCCCTTGCACTTCCCAAGTGAGGCAATGCCTCGCCCTGCTTCGGCTCACACACGGTGCACGCACCCACTGACCTGTGCCCACTCTCTGGCACTCCCTAGTGAGATGAACCTGGTACCTCAGATGGAAATGCAGAAATCACCCGTCTTCTGCGTCGCTCACTCTGGGAGCTGTAGACCAGAGCTGTTCCTATTCGGCCATCTTCCACAAAGGAGTTTTTTAAGAATCCTTCTGTCTACTTTTTATGTGAAGGTATTCCCGTTTCGAAAGAAGGCTTCAAAGGACTCCAAATATCCACTTGCAGATACTACAAAAAGAGTGTTTCAAAACTGCTCTATCAAAAGGAAAGTTCAACTATGTGAGTTGAATGTACACATCACAAGGAAGTTTCTGAGTATGCTTCTGTCCAGTGTTCATATGAAGATATTCCCGTTTCCAACTTAGAACAGAAAGCACTCAAAATATCCACTTGCAGACTTCTCAAAAAGAGTGTTTCAAAACTGCTCTTGCAAAAGAAATGTTTAACTCTCTGAGTTGAATGCAAATTTCACAATGAAGTTTCTGAGAATGCTTCTGTCTAGTTTATGTGAAGATATTTCCTTTTGCACCATAACCCTCAAAGTGCTCCAAATATCCACTTGCAGATTCTACAATAAGTGTGTTTCAAAAATGCTCTATCAAAAGATAGGTTAAACTCTGTGAGTTGATTGCACACATCACAAAGCAGTATTTGAGAATGCTTCTTTCTAGTTTTTAGATGAAGATATTCCCGTTTCCAATGAAGGCTTCAAAGCACTCCATATATACACTTGCAGATACTACAAAAAGAGTGTTTCAAAACTACTCTATCAAAAGGAAGATTCAACTCTGTGAGTTGAATTCACACATCACAAGGAAGTTTCTGAGAATGCTTGTGTCCAGTATTTATGTGAAGATATTCCCGTTTCCCACAAAGGACACAAAGTGATTAAAATATCCACTTGCAGATTCCACAAAAAGTGTGTTTCAAAACTGCTCTAGCAAAAGAAATGTTTAACTCTCTGAGTTGAGTGCAAACATCACAAGGAAGTTTCAGAGAATGCTTCTGTCTAGTTTTTATGTGAAGATATTTCCTTTTCCACCATAACTCTCAAGGTAATCTAAATGTCCACCCGCAGATTCTGCAATAAGAGTGATTCAAAACTGCTCTCTCAAAAGATAGGTTAAACTCTGTGAGTTGAATGCACACATCACAAAGTAGTTTTTGAAAATGCTTCTGTCTAGTTATTAGGTGAGGATATTCCCTTTTCCAACGAAGGCTTCAAAGCACTCCAATTATCCACTTGCAGATCCTACAAAAAGAATGTTTCAAAACTGCTCTATCAAAAGAAATGTTAAATCCTGTGAGTTGTAAGCACACATCACAGAGATGTTTCTGAGAAAACTTCTGTATAGTTTTTATATGAAGATATTCCCTTTTCTACCATAAGCCTCAAACCGTTCCAAATATCCAATTGCAGATTCTACCAAAAGAGTGTTTCAGTACTGCTCTATGAAAAGAAACGTTCAACTCTGTGAGTTGAATGCAAACATCACAAAGAAGTTTCTGAGAATGCTTCTGTCTGGTATTTATGTGAAAATATCGTTTCCAAAGAATTCCTCAAAGCAGTCAAAATATTCACTTGCAGATTCTACAAAAAGAGTGTTTCAAAACTGCCCTATCAAAAGAAAGGTAAAAATCTGTGAGTTGAATGCTCACATCAGAGACTAGTTTCTGAGAATGCTTCTTTCTAGTTTTAATATAAAGAAATTGACTTTTCCACCAGAGGCCTTAAAGGGTTCCAAATATCCACGGGAAGATTCTACAAAAAGAGTGTTTTAAACTGCTCTATCAAAAGGAGAGTTCAAATCTGTGAGTTGAATGCACACATCACAAAGTAGTTTCTGAGTATCCTTCTGTCTACTTTTCATGTGAAGATATTCCCCTTTCCAATGAAGGTTTCAAAGCACTCGAAATATCCACTTGTGTATTCTACAAGGAGTGTTTCAAAACTGCTGTATCAAAAGGAAGGTGCAACTCTGTGAGTTGAATGCAAACATCACAAAGAAGTTTCTGAGAATGCTTCTGTCTGGTATTTATGTGAAAATATCGTTTCCAAAGAATTCCTCAAAGCAGTCAAAATATTCACTTGCAGATTCTACAAAAAGAGTGTTTCAAAACTGCCCTATCAAAAGAAAGGTAAAAATCTGTGAGTTGAATGCTCACATCAGAGACTAGTTTCTGAGAATGCTTCTTTCTAGTTTTAATATAAAGAAATTGACTTTTCCACCAGAGGCCTTAAAGGGCTCCAAATATCCACGGGAAGATTCTACAAAAAGAGTGTTTCAAAACTGCTCTATCAAAAGGAGAGTTCAAATCTGTGAGTTGAATGCACACATCACAAAGTAGTTTCTGAGTATCCTTCTGTCTACTTTTCATGTGAAGATATTCCCCTTTCCAATGAAGGCTTCAAAGCACTCCAAATATCCACTTGTGTATTCTACAAAGAGTGTTTCAAAACTGCTGTATCAAAAGGAAGGTGCAACTCTGTGAGTTGAATGCAAACATCAAAAAGAAGTTTCTGAGAATGCTTCTGTCTAGTTTTTAGGTGAAGATATTCCCATTTCCAACGAAGGCTTCAAAGCAGACCAAATATCGACTTGCAGATTCTACAAAAAGAGTGTTTCAAAACTGCTCTATCAAAAGACAGTTTCAACTCTGTGAGTTGAATGCAAACATCACAAAGAAGGTGCTGAGAATGCTTCTGTCTAATTTTTATGTGAAGATATTTCTTTTTCCACCATAGCCCTCAAATTGCTTCAAATGTCAACTTGCAGATTCTGCAAAAAGTGTGTTTCAAAACTGCTGTATCAAAAGAAAGGATGAACTCTGTGAGCTGAATGCACACATTACAAAGAAGTTTCTGAGAATGCTTCCATCTAGTTTTTATGTGAAGATATTTCCTTTTCCACCATAGCCATCAAAGAGCTCTAAATGTCCACTTGCAGATTCTACAAAAAGAGGGTTTCAAAACTGCTCTATCAAAAGAAAGGTTAAACTCTGTGAGTTGAATGCAAATATCACAAAGAAGGTGCTGAGAATGCTTCTGTCTAATTTTTATGTGAAGATATTTCTTTTTCCACCATAGCCCTCAAATTGCTTCAAATGTCAACTTGCAGATTCTGCAAAAAGTGTGTTTCAAAACTGCTGTATCAAAAGAAAGGATGAACTCTGTGAGCTGAATGCACACATTACAAAGAAGTTTCTGAGAATGCTTCCATCTAGTTTTTATGTGAAGATATTTCCTTTTCCACCATAGCCATCAAAGAGCTCTAAATGTCCACTTGCAGATTCTACAAAAAGAGGGTTTCAAAACTGCTCTATCAAAAGAAAGGTTAAACTCTGTGAGTTGAATTCACCAATCCAAAGAAGTTTCTGAGAGTGCTTCTGTCTAGTTTTTATTTGAAGATATTCTCATTCCAATGAAGGCTTCAAAGCACTCGAAATATCCACTTGCATATTCTACAAAAAGAGTGTCTAAAAACAGTTCTACCAAACGGACGATTCAACTCTGTGAGTTGAATGCACACATCACAGAGAAGTTTCTGAGAATGCTTCTGTCTAGTATTTATGGGAAGGTATTCCATTTCCAACGAAGACCACAAACCAGTCTAAATATCCATGTGCACATTCTAGAAAAAGAGTGTCTCAAAACTGCTCTATCAAAAGGAAGGTTCAACTCTGTGAGTTGAAAGCACACATCACAAACAAGTTTCTGAAAATGCTTCTGTCTAGTTTTTATGTGAAGATATTCCCATTTCCAATGAAGGTCTGAAAGCTGGCCAAATATCCACTTGCAGATTCTAAAAAAAGAGTGTTTCCAATCTGCTCTATCCAAAGAAAGGTTGAAATCTGTGGGTTGAATGCACACATCACAAAGAAGTTTCTCAGAATGCTTCTGTCTTGTTTTTATATGTAGATATTTCCTTTTTGCCATAGGCTTCAAAGCACTCCAAATATCCACTTGCAGATTATACAAAAATAGCGTTTCAAAACAGTTCTATCAAAAGGAGATTTCAAATCTGTAAGTTGAATGCGCACATCACAAAAAAGTTTCTGAGAATGCTTCTGTCTACTTTTCATTTGAAGATATTCCCATTTCCAACGGATGTTTCAAATCAATCCAAACATCCACTTGCAGATACTACAAAAAGAGTGTTTCAAAACTGCTCTATCAAGAGGAAGATTCAACTGGGTGAGTTGAATGCACACATGACAAAGAAGTTTCTGAGAATGCTTCTGTCTAGATTTTATGTGAAGATATTCCCGTTTCCAAAGAAGACCTCATAGCCGTCCAAATATCCACTTGCAGATCCTTCAGAAAGAGTGTTTCAAAACGGCGCTATCAAAAGAAATGTTCAACTCTCTGAGTTGAATGCAAACATCACAAAGAAGCTTCTGAGAATGCTTCTGTCTAGTTTTTATGTGAAGATATTCCCATTTCCAATAAAGGCCTGAAAACTGGCCAAATATCCACTTGCAGATTCTAAAAAAAGAGTGTTTCCAATCTGCTCTATCCAAAGAAAGGTTGAAATCTGTGGGTTGAATGCACACATCACAAAGAAGTTTCTCAGAATGCTTCTGTCTCGTTTTTATATGTAGATATCTCCTTTTTGCCTTAGGCTTCAAAGCACTCCAAATATCCACTTGCAGATTCTACAAAAATAGTGTTTCAAAACAGCTCTATCAAAAGGAGATTTCAAATCTGTGAGTTGAATGCACACATCACAAAAAAGTTTATGAGAATGCTTCTGTCTACTTTTCATTTGAAGATATTCCCATTTCCAAGGGATGCTTCAAAGCAATCCAGACATCCACTTGCAGATACTACAAAAAGAATGTTTCAAAATGGCTCTATCAAGAGGAAGATTCAACTGGGTGAGTTGAATGCACACATGTCAAAGAAGTTTCTGAGAATGCTTCTGTCTAGATTTTATGTGAAGGTATTCTTGTTTCCAAAGAAGACCTCATAGCCATCTAAATATCCACTTGCAGAACCTTGAAAAAGAGTGTTTCAAAACGGATCTATCAAAAGAAATGTTCAACTCTCTGAGTTGAATGCAAACATCACAAGGAAGCTTCTGAGAATGCTTCTGTCTAGTTTTTATGTGAAGATATTTCCTTTTCCACCATAGCCCTCGAAGTGCTCAAAATGTCCAATTGCAGATTCTACAAAAAGAGTGTTTCAAATCTGCTCCGTCAAAACATATGTTAAAATCTGTGAGTTGAATGGACACATCGCAAAACAGCTTTTGAGAATGCTCCTGTCTAGTTTTTATGTGAATATATTCCCGTTTCCAACGAAGAGTTCAAAGCACTCCAATTATCCACTGGCAGATTCTACAAAAAGAGTGTTTTAAAATTGTTCTATCAAAAGAAAGGTTAAATTCTGTGAGTTGTAAGGAGACATCACAAGGAAGTTTCTGAGAATGCTTCAGTCTACTTTTTATGTGAAGATATTCTCGTTTCCAAGGAAGACCTCAAAGTGGTCCAAATATCCACTTGCAGGTTCTACAAAAAAAGTGCTTCAAAACTGCTCTATGAAGAGAATGGTTCAACTCCTTGAGTGGAATACAAATATCACAAAGAAGTTTGTGGGAATGCTTCTGTCTAGTTTTTATGTGAAGATATTTCCCTTTCCACCATGGCCCTCTAAGTGCTCCAAATGTCCACTTGCAGATTCTACAAAAAGAGTGTTTCAAAACTGCTCTATCAAAAGAAAGGTTCAACACTGTGAGTTGAATGCACTCATCACAAAGTAGTTTCTGAGAATGCTTCTGCGTAGTTTTTATATGAAGATATTTTCTTTTGCCCTGTAGCCCTCAAATCACTCCAAATATCCAATTTCAGATTCTACAAAAAGAGCGTTTCAAAACTGCCTTATCAAAAGGAGGGTTCAACTCCGTGAGTTGAATGCCCCCATCACATAGAAGTTTCTGAGAATGCTTCTCACTAGTTTTTATTTGAAGATATTCCCTTTTCCAATGAAGGCTTCAAAGCACTCGAAATATCGACTTGCACATTCTACAAAGAGTGTTTCAAAACTGCTCTATCAAAAGGAACGTTCAACTCTGTGAGATGAAGGCACACGTCACAAAAATGTTTATGAGAATCCTTCTGTCTAGTTTTTATGTGAAGATATTCCCGTTTCCAACGAAGGCCTCAAAGCGGTCCAAATATCCACTTGCAGATCCTACATAAAGAGTGTTTCAAAACTGCTCTATCAAAAGAAAGGTTCAACTCTCTGAGTTGAAGGCAAACATCACAAAAAACTTACTGAGAATGCTTCTGTCTAGTTTTTATGTGAAGATATTTCCTTTTCTACCATAGCCCTCAAAGTGCTCCAAATGTCCACTTGCAGATTCTACAAAAAGTGTGTTTCAAAACTGGTATATCAAAGAAAGGTTAAACTCTCTGAGTTGAATGCACACATTAAAAAGTAGTCTTTGAGAACGTTTCTGTCTAGTTTTTATGTGAAGATATTCCTGTTTCCAATGAAAGCTTCAAAGCACTCCAAATATTCACTTTCAGATTCTAGAAAAAGAGTGTTTCAAAACTGCTTTATCAAAAGAAATGTTCAACTCTCTGAGTTGAATGAAAACATCACAAAGATGTTTCTGAGAATGCTTCTGTCTAGTTTTTATGTAAAGATATTTCCTTTTCCACCATAGCCTTCAAAGTGCTGCAAGTGTCCATTTGCAGATTCTACAAAAAGAGTGCTGCAAAACTGATGTATGAAATGAAACGTTCAACTCTCTGAGTTGAATGCAAACATAACGTAGAAGTTTCTGAGAATGATTCTATCTAGTTTTTATGATATTCCCGTTTCCTTTGAAGGCTTCAAATCACTTCAAATATCCACTTACAGATTCTACAAAAAGAGTGTCTCAAAACTGCTCTATCAAAAGGAAGGTTCAACTCTGTGAGCTGAATGCACACATCAAAAAGACTTTTCTGAGAATGCTTCTGTCTAGTTTTTATGTAAAGATATTCCCGTTTCCAAAGAAAGCCTCAAAGCTGTCCAAATATCCACTTGCAGATACTACAAAAAGAGTGATTCAAAACTGTTCTATCAAAGGAAAGGTTCAACCCTCTGAGTTGAATACGAACATCACAAAGTAGTTTCTGAGAATGCTTCCATCTAGTTTTTATTAGAAGATGTTTCATTTTCTACAATAGGTCTCAAAGCGCTCCAAATATCCACATGCAGATTCTATAAAAAGAGTGTTTCAAAACTCTCTATCAAAAAGAAGGTTCAACTCTGTGAGTTGAAGGCAAACATCACAAAGAAGTTTCTGGGAATGCTTCTTTCTAGTTTTTATGTGAAGATATTCCCGTTTCCAATGAAGGCTTCAAAGCACTCCAAATATCCACCTGTAGATTGTACAAAAAGAGTATTTCAAAACTGCTCTATAAAAAGGAAGGTTCATCTCTGTGAGTTGAATGCACATATCACAAAGAAGTTTTTGAGAATGATTCTGTCTGGTTTATAGGGGAAGATACTTCCTTTTCCACCGAATACCTCAAAAAGCTCGATATGTCCACTTGCAGATTCTACAAAAAGAGTGTTTCAAAACTGCTATATCAAAACAAAGTTTCAACTCTCTGAGTTGAATGTACACAACAAAAAGTAGTTTCTGAGAATGCTTCAGTCTAGTTTTGATATGAAGATATTACATTTTCTACCATAGGCCTCAAAGGGTTCAAAACAACCACTTGCAGATTCTACAAAAAGAATGATTCAAAACTGCTCTACCAAAAGAAAGGTTGAACTCTCTGAGTTGAATGTACACATCACAAAGATTTTTCTGAGAATGCTTTTGTCTAGTTTTTATGTGAAGATATTTCCTTTTCCACCATAGACCACAAAGTGCTCCAAATGTCCACTTGCAGATTCTAGAAAAGGAGTGTTTCAAAACTGCTCTATAGAAAGAAATGTTATACTCTGTGTGTTGAATGGACACATCACAAAGGAGTTTCTGAGAATGCTTCTGTCTAGTTTTTATTTGAGGATATTCCCGTTTCCAATGAAGGCTTTAAAGCACTCCAAATATCCACTTGCAGATTGTACAAAAAGAGTGTTTCAAAACTGCTCTTTCAAAAGAAATGTTCAACTCTGTTAGTTGAATGCACACTTCCCAAATTAGTTTCTGAGAATGCTTCTTTCTACTTTTTATATGAAGATATATCCTTTTCTACCACAGGCCTCAAAGAGCTACAAATATCCACTTGCAGATTCTACAAAAAGTGTGTTGCAAAACTGCTCTATCAAAAGAATGGTTCAACTCTCTGAGTTGAATGCAAATATCCTGAAGTAATTTCTGAGACAGCTTCTTTCTAGTTTTCATATGAAGGATTCCAAATATCCACTTGCAGATTTTACAAAAAGAGTGTTTGCAAAACTGCTCTATCACAACAAAGCTTAAACTCTATGAGTTGAATTCACACACAACCAACGAATTTCTGAGAATGCGTCTGTCTAGTTTTATGGGAAGATATTCCCGTTACCCACCAAGGCTTCAAAGCACTCCAAATATCAACTTGCAGATTCTACAAAAAGAGTGTTTCAAAACTGTTCTATGAAAAGAAAGGTTCAACTCTGTGAGTTGAATGCAAACATCACAAAGAAGTTACTGATAATTCTTCTATCTAGTTTTTATGTGAAGATATTTCCTTTTCCACCATAGCCCTCAAAGTGCTCCAAATGTCCACTTGCAGATTCTACAAAAAGAGTGTTTCAAAACTGCTCTATCAAAAGAAAGGTTAAACTCTGTGTGTGGAATGCACACATCACAAAATAGTTTCTGAGAATGCTCCTTTCTAGTTTTTATATGAAGATATTTCCTTTTCTACCATAGGCCTCAAATGACTCCAAATATACACTTGCACATTCTACAAAAACAGTGTTTCAAAACTGCTCTATGAAAAGAAGTGTTCAACTCTGTGAGTTGAATGCACACATCACAAAGCTGTTACTGAGAATGCTTCTGTCTACTTTTTTTGAGAAGTTATTCCCATTTCCAACGAACAATTCAAAGTACTCCAACTATCCCCTTGCAGATTCTACAAAAAGATTGTTTCAAAACTGCTCTGCGGAAAGAAAGTTCAACTCTGTGATTTGAATTCACACATCAAAAAGAAGATTCCGAGAATGCCTCTGTCTACATTTTATATGAAGTTATTCCCATTTCCAATGAAGTCTTCTAAGCACTTAAAATATGCACTTGCAGATTCTACAAAAAGAGTGTTTCAAAACTGCTCTATTAAAAGGAAGTGTCAATTCTGTGAGTTGAATTCACACAACACAAATAATTTTCTGAGAATGTTTCTGTCTAGTTTTTATGTGAAGATATTCCCGTTTCCAATGAAGGCATCAAAGCACTCCAAATATCCACTTGTGGATACTTCAAAAAGAATGTTTCAAAACTGCTCTATCAAAATGAAGGTTCAACACTGTGAGTTGAATGCACACATCACAAAGAAGTTTCTGAGAAGGCTTCTGTCTAGTTTTTATGTGAAGATAGTTCCTTTTCCACCGTAGTCCTCAAAGTGCACCAAATGTCCACTTGCAAATTGTACAAAAAGAATGTTTCAAAACTGCTCTCTCAAAAGAAAGGTTAAATTCTGTGAGTTGATGCAGACATCACAAAGTAGTTTCTCAGAATGCTTCTCTGTGGTTTTAATATGAAGATATTTCCTTTTCTACCATGGGCTTCAAAGGGCTCCAAATATCCACCTGCAGATTCTACAAAAAGAGTGTTTCAAAACTGCTCTATGAAAGGTATGTTCAACTCTGTGAGTTGAAAGCTCACATCACAAAGTAGTTTATGAGAATCCTTCTTTCTAGTTTTTATATAAAGATATTTTTTTTTTCTTCCATAGGCCTCAAAGGGCTCCAAATATCCACTTGCAGATTCTACAAAAAGAGTGTTTCAAAACTGCTCTATCAAAAGGATGGTTGAACTCTGTTAGTTGAATGCACACGTCACAAAGTTGTTTCTGAGAAGGCTTCTGTCTAGTTTTTATGTGAAGATATTTTCTTTTCTACCAAAGGCTTCAAAGGGCTCAAAGTATCCACTTGCTGATTATACAAAAAGAGTGTTTCAAAACTGCTCTATCAAAAGGAAGGTTCAGCTCTGTGAGTTGAATGCACACATCACAAAGAAGTTTCGGAGAATTCTTCTGTCTAGTTTTTATGTGAAGATATTCCCGTTTCCATTGAAGGCTTAAAAGCACTCCAAATATCTACTTGCAGTTTGTACAAAAAGACTGTTTCAAAACTGCTCTATGAAAAGAAATTTTCAACTCTGTGAGTTGAATGCAAACATCACAAAAAGTTTCTCATAATACTTCTGTCTAATTTTTGTGAGAAGATGTTTCCTTTTCCACCATAGCCCACAAAGTGCTCCAAATGTAAGATTGATAATTATACAAAAAGACTGTTTCAAAACTGCTCTATCAAAAGAAAGGTTAAACTCTGTGAGTTGAATGTACACATCACAAAGTAGTTTCTGAGAATGCTTCTGTCTAGTTTTTCTATGAAGATATTTCCTTTTCTAGCATAGGCCACAAAGTGCTCCAAATATACATTTGCAGATTCTACAAAAAGAGTGTTTCTAAACTGCTCTATCAAAGAGAAGTTTAAACTCAGTGAGTTGAATGCATACATGACAAAGAAGCATCTGACTATGCTTCTGTCCAGTTTTATGTGAAGATATTCACGTTTCCAACGAAGTCCTCAAAGCAGTGCAAATATCCACTTGCAGATTCTACAAAAAGTGTGTTTCAAAACTGTTCTATGAAAAGAAAGGTTCAACTCTGTGAGGTGAATGCAAACATCACAAAGAAGTTTCTGAGAATGCTTCTGTCTAATTTTTATGTGAAGATATTTCATTTTCCACCATTCCAGTCAAAGTGCTACATGTGTCCACTTGCAGATTCTACAAAGAGAGTGATTCAAAACTGCTCTATCAAAAGAAAGTTTCAACTCTGTCTGTTGAATGCACACATCAAAAAGAAGTTTCTGTGAATGCTTCTGTCTAGTTTTTGTGTGAAGATATTCCCGTTTCCAACGAAGTCCTCAAAGCAGTCCATATATCCAATTACACATTCTACAAAAAGAGTGTTTCAAACTGCTCTATCAAAAGAAATGTTACACTCTGTGAGTTTAATGCACACATCACAAAGCACTTTCTGAGAATGCTTCTGCCTAGTTTTTACATGAAGATATTCCCTTTTCTACCATAGACCTCAAAGTGCTCCATATATCCACTTGCAGATTCTCCAAAAAGAGTGTTTCATAACTGCTTATCAAAAGGAAGTTTCAAAACTGTGAGTTGAATGCCCATATCACAAAGTAATTTCTGAGAATTATTCTGTCTAGTTTTTATGTGAAGATATTCCTGATTCCAATGAATGCCCCAAAGCACTCCAAATATCCACCTGCAGATTCTACAAAAAGAGTGTTTCAAAACTGCTCTATCAAAAGGAAGGTTCAACTCCGTGAGTTGAATGCAAACATCACAAAGAAGTTTCTGAGAATGCTTCTGTCTAGGTTTTATGTGAAGGTATTCCCGTTTCCAACGAAAGCCTCATAGTGGTCAAAATATCCACTTGCAGATTCTACAAAAAGAGTGTTTCAGAACTGATCTATCAAAAGAAAGTTTCAACTCTGTGAGTTGAATGCAAACATCAAAAAGAAGTTTCTGAGAATGCTTCCATCTAGACTTTATGTGAAGATATTTCCTTTTCCACCATAGCCAACAAAGTGTTCTAAATGTCTACTTCCAGATCCTATAAAAAGAATGTTTCAAAACTGCTCTATCAATAGAAAGGTTAAACTCTGTGAGTTGAATGCACACATCAAAAATCAGTTTCTGAGAATGTTCATTTCTAGTTTTTATATGAAGATATTTCCTTTTCCACCATAGGCCTCATAGCGCTCCAAAAGCCATTTGCAGATTCACCAGAAAGAGTGTTTCAAAACTGTTGTATCAAAAAAAGGTTCAAAACTTTGAGTCGAATGCACATATCGCAAATCAGTTTCTGAGAATTCTTCTGTCTACTTTTTATGTGAAGATATTCCCGTTTCCAATGAAGGCCCCAAAGCAGTCCAAATATCCACTTGAAGATTCTACAAAAAGAGTGTTTCAAAACTTCCCTATGAAAAGAAAGGTTCAACTCTGTGAGTTGAATGCAAACATCACAAAGAAGTTTCTGGAATGCTTCTGTCTCATTTTCATGTGAAGAAATTTCCTTTTCCACCGTAGCCCTCAGAGAGCTCCAAATGTCCACTTGCAGATTCTAAAAAAAAGTGTTTCAAAACTGCTCTGTCAAAAGGAGGGTTCAACTCTGTGAGTTGAATACACACATCACAAAGAAGTTTCCGAGAATACTTCTGTCTAGTTTTTATGTGAAAATATTCCCGTTTCCAACGAAGGCCTCAAATGGGTCCAAATATCAACTTGCAGATTCTACAAAAAGAGTGCATCAAAACTGCTCTATCAAAAGGAAGGTTCAACTCTGTGACTTGAATACACACATCACAAAGGAGTTTCTGAGAATGCTTCTGTCTAATTTTTATGTGAAGGTATTCTAGTTTCCAAAGAAGGCTTCAAAGCACTCCAAATGTCCACTTGCAGATTATACAAAAAGAGTGTTTCTAAACTGCTCTACCAAAAGAATGGTTAAACTCTGGGAGTTGACTGCACACATCAAAAAGTAGTTTCTGAGATTGCTTCTTTCTAGTTTTTACATGAAGATATTCCCTTTTCCACCATACGACTCAAAAGACTCCAAATATCCACTTCCAGATTCTACAAAAAGAGTGTTTCAAAACTGCTCTATCAAAAGGAGGGTTCAACTTTGTTACCTGAATGTACACATCACAAAGTGGTTTCTGAGAATTCTTCTGCCTAATATTTATGTGAAGATATTCCCGTTTCCAAGGAAGGCTTCAATGCACTCCAAATATCCACTTGTAGACTCTACAAAAAGAGTGCTTCAAAACTGCTCTATCAAAAAGAAGGTTCAACTCTGTGATTTGAATGCACATATCACAAAGAAGTTTCTAAGAATGCTTATGTCTTGTTTTTAAGTGAAGATATTCCCATTTCCAACGAAGGCTTCCAAGCACTCCAAATATACATTGGCAGATAGAACAAAAAGAGGGATTCCAAACTGCTCTATCAAAAGTAAGGTTCAAATCTGTGAGTTGAATGCACACACCACAAAGAAGTTTCTTAGAATGCTTCTGTCTAGTTTTCATGTAAAGATTTTCCGGTTTCCAACGAAGGACTCGAAGCTCTCTAAGTATCCATTTGCAGATTCCACAAAAAGAGTGTTTCAAAACTGCTCTATCAAAAGCAAGGTTCAACTCTGTGAGTTTAATGCACCCATCACAATGAAGTTTCTGAAAATGCTTCTGTCTAGTTTTCATGTGAAGATATTCCCGTTTCCAACGAAAGCCTCAAAGCGGTCAAGACATCCACTTGCAGATCCTACAAAAAGAGTGTTTCGGAACTGCTCTATCAAAAGAAATGTTCAACCCTGTGAGTTGAATGCAAAAGTCACAAAACGTTTCTCAGAATGCTTCGGTATAGTTTTTATATGTATACGTTTCCTTTTCCATTATAGCCCTCAATATGCTAAAAAGGTACACTTGTAGATTCTAAAAAAAGAGTGTTTCAAAACTGCTCTATCCAAAGAAAGGTTAAACTCTGTGAATTGAATGCACACATCACAAAGTAGTTTCTGAAAATGCTTCTGTCTAGTTTTTATATGAAGATATTCCCTTTTCTATCATAGGCCTGAAAGCACTCCAAATATCCACCTGCAGATTCTACAAAAAGAGTGTTTCAAAACTGCTCTATCAAAAGGAAGGTTCAACTCTGTGGGTTGAATGCACACATCACAAAGAAGTTTCTGAGAATGCTTCTGTCTAGTTTTTATGTTAAGATATTCCTGTTTCCAATGAAGGCTTCAAAGCACTCCAAATATCCAGTTGCAGATTCTACTAAAAGAGTGTTTCAAAACTGCTCTATTAAAAGGAAGGTTCAACTCTGTGAGTTGAATGCCCACATCACAAAGAAGTTTCTGAGAATGTTTCTGTCTAGTTTTTATGTGAAGATATTCCCGTTTCCAACGGAAGCTTCAAAGCACTCTGAATATCCACTTGCAGACTCTACAAAAGAGTGTTTCCAAACTGCTCTACCAAAAGGAAAGTTCAACTCTGTGAGTTGAATGGACACATCACAAAGTAGTTTGTGAGAATGCGTCTGTCTAGCTTTTATGTGAAGATATTCCCGTTTCCAACGAAGGCTTCAAAGGACTCAAAATATAGACTTCCAGATTCTACAAAAAGAGTGTGTCAAAACTGCTCTACCGAAAGAAATGTTCAAAACTGTGAGATGAATGCACACATCAGTAAGTAGTTTCTGAGAATGCTTCAGTCTAGTTTTTATGGGAAAATATTTCCGTTTCCAAAGAAGGCCTCAAAGCAGTCCAAATATCCACTTGCAGATTCTACAAAAAGATTGTTTCAAAACTGTTCTATGAAAAGAAATGTTCAACTCTGTGAGTTGAATGAGAACATCACAAAGAAGTTTCTGAGAATGCTTCTGTCTAGTTTTTATGTGAAGATATTTCCTTTTACACCACAGCCCTCCAAGTGCTCCAAATGTCCACTTGCAGATTCTACAAAAAAAAAGTGTTTCAAAACTGCTCTATCAAAAGGAAGGTTCAACTCTCTGAGTTGGATGCACTCATCCCAAAGAAGCTTCTGAGAATGCTTCTGTCTAGTTTTTATGTGAAGATATTCCCGTTTCCAAAGAAGGCTTCAATCTCTCCAAATATCCACTAGCAGATTCTACAAAAAGAGTGTTTCAAAACTGCTCCATCAAAAGCAAGGTTCAACTCTGTGAGTAGAATGCAAACATCACAAAGAAGTTTCTGAGAATGATTCTGTCTAGTTTTTATGTAAAGATATTCCCTTTTCCAATGAAGACTTCAAAGCACTCCAAAAATCCACTTGCAGATCCTAGAAAAAGAGAATTTCAATACTGCTCTATCAAAAGGAATGTTCAACTCTGTGAGTTGAATGAGCACATCAGAAAGAAGTTTCTGAGAATGGTTCGATCTAGTTTTATGTGTAGATAAAGTCGTTTCCAACGAAGTTCTCAAAGGGGTACAATTATGCACTTGCAGTTTCTACAAAAAGAGTGTTTCAAAACTGCTCTATGAAAAGAAAGGCTCAACTCTCTGAGTTGAATGCAGAAATCACAGACATGTTTCTGAGAATACTTCTGTCTAATTTTTATGTAAAGATATATCCTTTTCCACCATAGACCTCAAAGTGCTCCAAATGTCCACTTGCAGATATTACAAAAAGAGTTTTTTGAAACTACTCTATCAAAAGAAAATTTAAACACTTTAGGTTGAATGCAGACGTCACAAAGTAGTTTCTAAGAATGCTTCTTTCTAATTTTTATATGAAGACATTTCCTTTTCTACCATAGGCCTCAAAGCATTCCCAAAATCCACTTGCAGATTACAGAAAAGGAATGTTTCAAAACCACTCTATCAAAAGGAGGGTTCAACTCCGTGAGCTGAATACACACATTCCAAAGAAGTTTCTTAGAATGCTTCTGTCTAGTTTTTATGTGAAGATATTCCAGTTTCCAACGAAGGCTTAAAGCACTCCTAATATCCACTTGTGGATTCTACAAAAAGAGTGTTTCAAAACTGCTCTATCAAAAGAAAGGTTCAACTCTGTGAGTTGAATGCACACATCACAAAGTAGTTTCTGAGAATGCGTCTGTCAAGTTTTTATGTGAAGATACTCCCATTTTCAATGAAGGCATCAAATCAGTCCAAATATCCACCTGCAGATTCTACAAAAAGAGTTTTTCAAAACTGCTCTAACAAAAGAAAGGTTCAACTCTGTGAGTTGAATGCACACATCAAAAGAAGTTTGTGAGAATGCTTCTGTCTAGTTTTTATGTGAAGATATTTCCTTTTCCACCATAGCCTTCAAAGTGCTTCAAACATCCACTTGCAGATTCTACAAAAAGAGTGTTTCAAAACTTCTCTAAGAAAAGAAAGGTTAACCTCTGTGAGTTGAATGCACACTTCACAAAGTAGTTTCTGAGAATGCTTCTTTCTAGTTTTTATATGAATATATTTCCTTTTCTACCATAAGCCTCAAAGCCCTCAAACTATCCACTTGCAGATTCTGCAAAAAGAGTGTTTCAAAACTGCTCTATCAAAAGGAAGGCTCAACTCTGTGAGTTGAATGCACACATCACAAAGTAGTTTCTGAGAATGCGTCTGTCAAGTTTTTATGTGAAGATACTCCCATTTCCAATGAAGGCCTCAAATAAGTCCAAATATCCACCTGCAGATTGTACAAAAAGAGTTTTTCAAAACTGCTCTAACAAAAGAAAGGTTCAACTCTGTGAGTTGAATGCACACATCAAAAGAAGTTTGTGAGAATGCTTCTGTCTAGTTTTTATGTGAAGATATTTCCTTTTCCACCATAGCCCTCAAAGTGCTTCAAATATCCACTTGCAGATTCTACAAAAAGAGTATTTCAAAACTTCTCTAAGGAAAGAAAGGTTAACCTCTGTGAGTTGAATGCACACTTCACAATGTAGTTTCTGAGAATGCTTCTTTCTAGTTTTTATATGAATATATTTCCTTTTCTACCGTAAGCCTCAAAGCCCTCAAAATATCCACTTGCAGATTCTGCAAAAAGTGTTTCAAAACTGCTTTATTAAAAGGAAGGTTCAAATCTGTGAGCTGAATGCACTCATCACAATAAGTTTCTGAGAATGCTTCTGTCTAGTTTTTATGTGAAGGAATTTCCTTTTCCACCACTGCCCTCAGAGTGCTCCAAATGTCCACATGCAGACACTACAAAAAGAGTGTTTCAAAACTGCTCTATCAAAAGAAAGGTTAAACTCTGTGAATTGAATGTACACATCACAAAGCAGTTTCTGAGAATGCTTCTTTCTAGTTTTTATGTGAAGATATTTCCTTTTCTCCATAGCCCTCAAAGGGTTCCAAATATCCACTTCCAGATTCTACAAAAAGAGTGTTTCAAAACTGCTCAATCAAAAGAGGGGTTCACCTCTCGAAGTTGAATGGACACATCACAAATGTTTCTGTGAATGCTTCTGTCTAGTTTTTATGTGAAGATATTACTGTTTCCATTGAAGGCTTCAAAGCACTCTAACTATCCACTTGTAGATTCTACAAAAACAGGGTTTCAAATCTGCTCTATCAAAAGGAAGGTTCAAATCTGTGTGTTGAATGCACACATCACAAAGAAGTTTCTGAGAATGTTTCTGTCTAGTTTTTATCTGAGGATATTCCCGTTTCCAACGGAGGCCTGAAAGCAGTCCAAAAATCAACTTGCAGATTCTACAAAAAGAGTGTTTCAAAACTGCTCCATGAAAAGAAATGTTCAACTCTGTTAGTTAAATGCAAACATCACAAAGACGTTTCTGAGAATGCTTCATTCTAGTTTTTATGTGAATTTATTTCCTTTTCCAACTTAGCCTTCAAAGTGCTCCAAATATCCACTTGAAGATTCTACAAAAAGAGTGTTGTAAGACTGCTATATCAAAAGAAACGTTAAACTCTGTGAGTTGAGTGCACACATCCCATAGTAGTTTCTGAGAATGCTTCTTTCTAGTTTTTATATGAAGATATTTCCTTTTCTACCATAGGCCTCAAAGGGCTGCAAATACCCACTTGCAGATTCTAAAAAAGAGTGTTTCAAAACCGAGCTATCAAAGCAGTGTTCACTTCTATGAGTTGAATGCATTCATCACAAAGAAGTTTCTGAGAATGCTTCTATCTAGTTTTTCTGTGAAGATATTTCCTTTTCCACCACAGCCCTCAATGTGCTCCAAAAGTCCACTTTCAGAATCTACAAAAATATTGTTTCAAAACTGCTCTATCAAAAGAAAAGTTAAACTCTGTGAGATAAATGCACACATCACAAAGTAGTTTCTGAGAATGCTTCTGTCTAGTTTTTATATGTAGATATTTCCTTTTCTACCATAGGCCTCTAAGCACCCCAATTATCCAATTGCAGATTCTGCAAAAAGAGTGTTTCAAAATTGCTCTATCAAAAGAAAGTTTAACTCTGTGAGTTGTAAGCACACATCAAAAAGTAGTTTCTGAGACTGCTTCTTTCTAGTTTTTATATGAAGATATTTCCTTTTCTACTGTATTCCTCAAAGCGCTCCAAATATCCAAATGCAGATTCTACAAAAAGAGTGTTTCAAAACTGCTCTATCAAAAGGAAAGTTCAACTCAGTGAGTTGAATGCACACATCACAAAGAAGTTTCTGAGAATGCTTCTGTCTAGTTTTTAGGTAAAGATATTCCCGTTTCCAACGATGGCCTCAAAGCAGTCCAAATATCCACTTGCAAATTCTACAAAAAGAGTGTTTCAAAACTGCTCAATGAAAAGGATGGTTCAACTCCGTGGGTTGAATGCAAACAACACAAAGAAGTTTCGGAGAATGCTTCTGTCTAGTTTTTATGTGAAGATCTTTCCTTTTCCACGATAGCCCTCACGTGCTCCAAATGTCCACATGCAGATGCTACAAAAGAGAGTTTCAACACTGCTCTGTCAAAAGAAACATTCAACTCTGTGAGTCGAATGCACACATCACAACTAGTTTCTGAGAATGCTTCTTTCTAGTTTTTATATCAAGATATTTCCTTTTGTACAATAGGCCTCAAAGGGCTCCAAATATGCACTTTCAGATCCTACAAAAACAGTGTTTCAAAACTTCTGTATCAAAACGAGTGTTCAACTCTGTGAGTTGAATGCACACATAACAAAGTACTTTCTGAGAATGCTTCTGTCTCGTTTTTATGTGAAGATATTCCCGTTTCCAACAAAGGCCTCAAAGCAGTCCAAATATCCACTTGCAGATTCTTCAAAAAGTGTGTTTCAAAACTGCTCTATCAAAAGAAAGGTTGAACACTGTGAGTTGAATGCAAAAATCACAAAGAAGTTTCTGAGAATGCCTCTGTCTTGTTTTTATGTGATGATACTTCTTTTTTCACCATAGCCCTCAAAGTGCTCCATATGTCCACTTGCAGATTCCACAAAGAGAGTGTTTCAAAACTTCTCTACCAAAAGAAATGTTCAACTCTGTGAGTTGAATGCACCCATCACAAAGAAGTTTCTGAGAATGCTTCTGGCTAGTTTTTATGTGAAGATATTTCCTTTTCCACCATATACCTTAAACTTCTACAAATGTCCACTTGCAGATTCTACAAAAAGAGTGTTTCAAAAGTGCTCTATCAAAAGAAAGTTTAACTCTGTGAGTTGAATGCAAACATCAGAAAGAAGTTTCTGAGAATGCTTCTGTCTAGAATTTATGTGAAGATATTTCTTTTTCCACCATAGCCCACAAAGTGTTCCAAATGTACAGTTTCAGATTCTACAAAAAGAGTGTTTCTAACTGCTCTGTCAAAAGAAAGGTTAAACTCTGTGAGATGAATGCACACATCACAAATTAGTTTCTAAGAATGCTTCTTTCTAGCTTTTATATGAAGATATTTCCTTTTTTACCATAGGCCTCAAAGTGCTCCAAATATTCACTTGCAGATTCTACAAAAAGAGGGTTTCAATACAGCTCTATCAAAAGGAGGTTTAAACTCTGTGAGTTGAACGCACACATCACAATGAAGTTTCTAATAATGCATCTGTCTAGTTTTTATGTGAAGATATTCCCGTTTCCAACGAAGGCTTCAAATTAGTCCAATTATCCACTTGCAGATTCTATAAAAAGAGTGTTTCAAAACTGCTCAATAAACAGGAATGTCTAAATCTGTGAGATGAATGCACACATCGCAAGGAAGTTTCTGAGAATGCTTCTGTCTAGTTTTTATGTGAAGATATTCCGGTTTCCAATGAAGGCCTGAAAGCACTCCAAATATCTACTTGCAGATTCTACAAAAAGAGTGTATCAAAACTTCTCTATGAAAAGGAAGGTTCAACTCTGTGAGTTAAATGCACACATTACAAGAAGTTTCTGAGAATGCTTCTGTCTGGTTTTTATGTGAAGATACTTTCTTTTCCACCAAAGACCTCAAAGAGCATGACATGTCCACTTGCAGATTCTACAAAAAGAGTGTTTCAAAACTGCTCTATCAATAGGAAGGTTCAACTCTGTGAGTTGAATGCACACATCACAAAGAACTTTCTGAGAATGCATCTTTCTAGTTTTTATGTGAAGATATACCCGTTTCCAACGAAGACTTCAAATTACTCCAATTATCCACTTGCAGATTGTACAACAAGTGTGTTCAAAACTGCTCTATCAATAGGAATGTTCAACTCTGTGAGGTGAATGTCCACATCACAAAGAAGTTTCTGAGAATGCTTCTGTCTAGTTTTCACGTGAAGATATTCCCATTTCCAACGAAGGCCTCAAAGCAGTCCAAATGCCCAATGCAGATGCTACAAAAAGAGTGTTTCAAAACTGCTCTATCAAAAGAAAGGTGAATTATGTGAATTGTGAGCACACATCACAAAATAGTTTCTGAGAATGCATCTGTCTAGTTTTTATGTGAAGATATACCCGTTTCCAACGAAGACTTCAAATTACTCCAATTATCCACTTGCAGATTGTACAAGTGTGTTCAAAACTGCTCTATCAATAGGAATGTTCAACTCTGTGAGTTGAATGTCCACATCACAAAGAAGTTTCTGAGAATGCTTCTGTCTAGTTTTCACGTGAAGATATTCCCATTTCCAACGAAGGCCTCAAAGCAGTCCAAATGTCCAATGCAGATTCTACAAAGAGTGTCTCAAAACTGCTCTATCAAAAGAAAGGTGAATTATGTGAATTGTGAGCACACATCACAAAGTAGTTTCTGAGAATGCTTCTGTCTAGTTTTTATATGTAGATATTTCCTTTTCTACCATAGGCCTCTAAGCACCCCAATTATCCAATTGCGGATTCTGCAAAAAGAGTGTTTCAAAATTGCTCTATCAAAAGAAAGATTTAACTCTGTGTGTTGAATGCACACATCACAAATAAGTTTCTGAGAATGCTTCTGTCTAGATTGTATGTGAAGATATTCCCGTTTACAAGGAAGGCCTCAAAGCAGTCCAAATATCCACTTGCAGATTCTACAAAAAGAGTGTTTCAAATCTGCTCTATGAAAAGAAACGTTCAACTCTGTGAGTTGAATGCAAATCTCAGAAAGAAGTTTCTGAGAATGCTTATGTCTAGTTTTTATGTGAAGGTATTTCCTTTTCCACCATAGCCCTCAAAGTTCTCCAAATATCTACTTGCATATTCTACAAAAAGAGTGTTACAAAACTGCTGTATCTAAAGAAAGGTTAAACTCTGTGAGGTGAATGCACACATCACGAAGTAGTTTCCGAGAATGCTTCTTTCTAGTTTTCCTATGAAGATATTTCCTTTTCTACCATAGGGCTCAAAAGTTTCCAAATATCCACTTGCAGATTCTACAAAAAGAGTGTTTCAAAACTGCTCTATCAAAAGAAATTTTAAATTCTTTGAGTTGAATGCACACATCCAAAAGTAGTTTCTGAGAATGCATCCGTCTAGTTTTTTTTTTTCTCCCCAGAAAATGGGTTGTTTTTTTTTATTTTAATTTTTTTAATTTTTTTATTTTTTTATTATACTTTAAGTTTTAGGGTACATGTGCACATTGTGCAGGTTAGTTACATATGTATACATGTGCCATGCTGGTGCGCTGCACCCACTAACTCGTCATCTAGGATTAGGTATATCTCCCGATGCTATCCCTCCCCCTTCCCCCCACCCCACAACAGTCCCCAGAGTGTGATATTCCCCTTCCTGTGTCGATGTGATCTCATTGTTCAATTCCCACCTATGAGTGAGAACATGCGGAGTTTGGTTTTTTGTTCTTGCGATAGTTTACTGAGAATGATGATTTCCAATTTCATCCATGTCTCTACAAAGTACATGAACTCATCATTTTTTATGGCTGCATAGTATTCCATGGTGTATATGGGCCACATTTTCTTAATCCAGTCTATCATTGTTGGACATTTGGGTTGGTTCCAAGTCTTTGCTATTGTGAATAATGCCACAATAAACATACGTGTGCATGTGTCTTTATAGCAGCATAATTTATAGTCCTTTGGTTATATACCCAGTAATGGGATGGCTGGGTCAAATGGTATTTCTAGTTCTAGATCCCTGAGGAATCGCCACACTGACTTCCACAATGGTTGAACTAGTTGACAGTCCCACCACCAGTGTAAAAGTGTTCCTATTTCTCCACATCCTCTCCAGCATCTGTTGTTTCCTGACTTTTTAATGATTGCCATTCTAACTGGTGTGAGATGGTATCTCATTGTGGTTTTGATTTGCATTTCTCTGATGGCCAGTGATGGTGAACATTTTTTCATGTGTGTTTTGGCTGTATAAATGTCTTCTTTTGAGAAGTGTCTATTCATGTCCTTTGCCCACTTTTGGATGGGGTTGTTTGTTTTTTTCTTGTAAATTTGTTTGAGTTCATTGTAGATTCTGGATATTAGCCCTTTTTCAGATGAGTAGGTTGCGAAAATTTTCTCCCATTTTGTAGGTTGCCTGTTGACTCTGATGGTAGTTTCTTTTGCTGTGCAGAAGCTCTTTAGTTTAATTAGATCCCATTTGTCAATTTTGTCTTTTGTTGCCATTGCTTTTTGTGTTTTAGACATGAAGTCCTTGCCCATGCCTATGGCCTGAATGGTAATGCCTAGGTTTTCTTCTAGGGTTTTTATGGTTTTAGGTCTAATGTTTAACTCTTTAATCCATCTTGAATTG
Organism: Homo sapiens; assembly: GCF_000001405.40. NCBI lineage: Eukaryota > Metazoa > Chordata > Mammalia > Primates > Hominidae > Homo > Homo sapiens. The sequence continues at coordinate 58,613 of NT_113948.1, forward strand.
ATTTTTGTATAAGGTGTAAGGAAGGGATCCAGTTTCAGCTTTCTACATATGGCTAGCCAGTTTTCCCAGCATCATTTATTAAATAGGGAATCCTTTCCCCATTGCTTGTTTTTCTCAGGTTTGTCAAAGATCAGATAGTTGTACATATGCGGCGTTATTTCTGAGGGCTCTGTTCTGTTCCATTGATCTATATCTCTGTTTTGATACCAGTACCATGCTGTTTTCGTTACTGTAGCCTTGTAGTATAGTTTGAAGTCAGGTAGTGTGATGCCTCCAGCTTTGTTCTTTTGGCTTAGGATTGACTTGGCGATGCGGGCTCCTTTTTGGTTCCATATGAACTTTAAAGTAGTTTTTTCCAATTCTGTGAAGAAAGGTATTGGTAGCTTGATGGGGATGGCATTGAATCTGTAAATTACCTTGGTCAGTATGGCCATTTTCACGATATTGATTCTTCCTACCCATGAGCATGGAATGTTCTTCCATTTGTTTGTATCCTCTTTTATTTCCTTGAGCAGTGGTTTGTAGTTCTCCTTGAAGAGGTCCTTCACATCCCTTGTAAGTTGGATTCCTAGGTATTTTATTCTCTTTGAAGCAATTGTGAATGGGAGTTCAGTCATGATTTGGCTCTCTGTTTGTCTGTTGTTGGTGTATAAGAATGCTTGCAATTTTTGTACATTGATTTTGTATCCTGAGACTTTGCTGAAGTTGTTTATCAACTTAAGGAGAATTTGGGCCAAGACAATGGGGTTTTCTAGATATACAATCATGTCGTCTGCAAACAGGAAAAATTTGACTTCCTCTTTTCCTAATTGAATACCCTTTATTTCCTTCTCCTGCCTAATTGCCCTGGCCAGAACTTCCAACACTATGTTGAATAGGAGTGGTGAGAGAGGACATCCCTGTCTTGTGCCAGTTTTCAAAGGGAATGCTTCCAGTTTTTGCCCATTAAGTATGATACTGGCTGTGGGTTTGTCATAGATAGCTCTTATTATTTTGAAATACGTCCCATCAATACCTAATTTATTGAGAGTTTTTAGCATGAAGGGTTGTTCAATTTTGTTAAAGCCTTTTTCTGCATCTATTGAGATAATCATGTGGTTTTTGTCTTTGGCTCTGTTGATATGCTGGATTACATTTATTGATTTTCATATATTGAACCAGCCTTGCATCCCAGGGATGAAGCCCACTTGATCATGGTGGATAAGCTTTTTGATGTGCTGCTGGATTCGTTTTGCCAGTATTTTATTGAGGATTTTTCCATCAATGTTCTTCAAGGATATTGGTCTAAAATTCTCTTTTTTTGTTGTTTCTCTGCCTGGCTTTGGTATCAGAATGATGCTGGCCTCATAAAATGAGTTAGGGAGGATTCCCTCTTTTTCTATTGATTGGAATAGTTTCAGAAGGAATGGTACCATTTCTTCCTTGTACCTCTGGTAGAATTCGGCTGTGAATCCATCTGGTCCTGGACTCTTTTTGGTTGGTAAGCTATTGATTATTGCCACAATTTCAGATCCTGTTATTGGTCTATTCAGAGATTCAACTTCTTCCTGGTTTAGTCTTGGGAGAGTGTATGTGTCCAGGAATGTATCCATCTCTTCTAGATTCTCTAGTTTATTTGTGTAGAGGTTTTTGTAGTATTCCCTGGTAGTAGTTTGTGTTTCTGTGAGATCGGTGGTGATATCCCCTTTATCATTTTTTATTGTGTCTATTTGATTCTTCTCTCTTTTTTTCTTTATTAGTCTTGCTAGTGGTCTATCAACTTTGTTGATCCTTTCAAAAAACCAGCTCCTGGATTCGTTAATTTTTTGAAGGGTTTTTGTGTCTTTATTTCCTTCAGTTCTGCTCTGATTTTAGTTATTTCTTGCCTTCTGCTAGCTTTTGAATGTGTTTGCTCTAGCTTTTCTAGTTCTTTTAATTGTGATGTTCAGGCGTCAATTTTGGATCTTTCCTGCTTTCTCTTGTGGGCATTTAGTGCTATAAATCTCCCTCTACACACTGCTTTGAATGTGTCCCAGAGATTCTGGTATGTTGTGTCTTTGTTCTCGTTGGTTTCAAAGAACATCTTTATTTTTGCCTTCATTTCGTTATGTACCCAGTAGTCATTCAGGAGCAGGGTGTTCAGTTTCCATGTAGTTGAGTGGTTTTGACTGAGATTCTTAATCCTGAGTTCTAGTTTGATTGCACTGTGGTCTGAGAGATAGTTTGTTATAATTTCTGTTCTTTTCCATTTGCTGAGGAGAGCTTTACTTCCCACTATGTGGTCAATTTTGGAATAGGTGTGGTGTGGTGCTGAAAAAAATGTATTTTCTATTGATTTGTGGTGGAGAGTTATGTATATGTCTATTAGGTCCGCTTGGTGCAGAGATGAGTTCAATTCCTGGGTATCCCTGTGGACTTTCTGTCTTGTTGATCTGTCTAATGTTGACAGTGGGGTGTTAAATTCTCCCATTATTAATGTGTGGGAGTCTAAGTCTCTTTGTAGGTCACTAAGCACTTGCTTTATGAATCTGGGTGCTCCTGTATTGGGTGCATATATATTTAGGATAGTTAGCTCTTTTTGTTGAATTGATCCCTTTACCATTATGTAATGGCCTTCTTTGTCTCTTTTGATCTTTGTTGATTTAAAGTCTGTTTTATCAGAGACTAGGATTGCAACCCCTGCCGTTTTTTGTTTTCCATTTGCTTGGTAGATCTTCCTCCATCCTTTTATTTTGAGCCTATGTGTGTCTCTGCACGTGAGATGGGTTTCCTGAATACAGCACAGTGATGGGTCTTGACTCTTTGTCCAATTTGCCAGTCTGTGTCTTTTAATTGGAGCATTTAGTCCATTTACATTTAAAGTTAATATTGTTATGTGTGAATTTGATCCTATCATTATGATGTTAGCTGGTGATTTTGCTCGTTAGTTGATGCAGTTTCTTCCTAGTCTCAATGGTCTTTACATTTTGGTATGATTTTGCAGTGGCTGATACCGGTTGTTCCTTTCCATGTTTAGTGCTTCCTTCAGGAGCTCTTTTAGGGCAGGCCTGGTGGTGACAAAATCTCTCAGCATTTGCTTGTTTGTAAAGTATTTTATTTCTCCTTCACTTATGAAGCTTAGTTTGGCTGGATATGAAATTCTGGGTTGAAAATTCTTTTCTTTAAGAATGTTGAATATTGGCCCCCACTGTCTTCTGGCTTGTAGGGTTTCTGCCGAGAGATCCGCTGTTAGTCTGATGGGCTTCCCTTCGTGAGGGTAACCCGACCTTTCTCTCTGGCTGCCCTTAACATTTTTTCCTTCATTTCAACTTTGGTGAATCTGACAATTATGTGTCTCGGAGTTGCTCTTCTCGAGGAGTATCTTTGTGGCGTTCTCTGTATTTCCTGAATCTGAACGTTGGCCTGCCTTGCTAGATTGGGGAATTTCTCCTGGATAATATCCTGCAGAGTGTTTTCCAACTTGGTTCCATTCTCCCCATCACTTTCAGGTACACCAATCAGACGTAGATTTGGTCTTTTCACATAGTCCCATATTTCCTGGAGGCTTTGCTCATTTCTTTTTATTCTTTTTTCTCTAGACTTCCCTTCTCACTTCATTTCATTCATTTCATCTTCCATCGCTGATACCCTTTCTTCCAGTTGATCGCATTGGCTCCTGAGGCTTCTGCATTCTTCACGTAGTTCTGGAGCCTTGGTTTTCAGCTGCATCAGCTCCTTTAAGCACTTCTCTGTATTGGTTATTCTAGTTATACATTCTTCTAAATTTTTTTCAAAGTTTTCAACTTCTTTGCCTTTGGTTTGAATGTCCTCCCATAGCTCAGAGTAATTTGATCGTCTGAAGCCTTCTTCTCTCAGCTTGTCAAAATCATTCTCCATCCAGCTTTGTTCCGTTGCTGGTGAGGAGCTGCGTTCCTTTGGAGGAGGAGAGGCACTCTGCATTTTAGAATTTCCAGTTTTTCTGTTCTGTTTTTTTCCCCATCTTTGTGGTTTTATCTACTTTTGGTCTTTGATGATGGTGATGTACAGATGGGTTTTTGGTGTGGATGTGCTTTCTGTTTGTTAGTTTTCCTTCTAACAGACAGGACCCTCAGCTGCAGGTCTGTTGGAGTACCTGGCAGTATGAGGTGTCAGTGTGCCCCTGCTGGGGGGTGCCTCCCAGTTAGGTTTCTCGGGTGTCAGGTGTCAGGGACCCACTTCAGGAGGCAGTCTGCCCATTCTCAGATCTCCAGCTGCGTGCTGGGAGAACCACTGCTCTCTTCAAAGCTCAGACAGGGACATTTAAGTCTGCAGAGGTTACTGCTGTTTTTTGTTGCCTGTGCCCTGCCCCCAGAGGTGGAGCCTACAGAGACAGGCAGGCCTCCTTGAGCTGTGGTGGGCTCCACCCTGTTCCAGCTTCCTGGCTGCTTTGTTTACCTAAGCAAGCCTGGGCAATGGCGGGCGCCCCTCCCCCAGCCTCGCTGCCGCCTTGCAGTTTGAACTCAGACTGCTGTGCTAGCAATCAGCGAGACTTCGTGGGTGTAGGACCCTCTGAGCCAGGTGCGGGATACAATCTCGTGGTGCACCGTTTTTTAAGCCTGTCGGAAAAGCGCAGTATTCGGGTGGGAGTGACCCGATTTTCCAGGTGCCGTCCGTCACCCCTTTCTTTGACTCAGAAAGGGAACTCCCTGACCCCTTGCATTTCCCAAGTGAGGCAATGCCTCGCCCTGCTTCGGCTCGCGCACAGTGCACGCACCCATTGACCTGCGCCCACTGTCTGGCACTCCCTAGTGAGATGAACCCGGTACCTCAGATGGAAATGCAGAAATCACCCATCTTCTGTGTCGCTCACGCTGGGAGCTGTAGACTGGAGCTGTTCCTATTCGGCCATCTTCAGATATAGCTGTTTCTAATGAAAACTTCAAAGTACTCCAATTATCCACTTGCAGATTCTACAAAAAGAGAGTTTCAAAACTGCGCTATCAAAAGGAAGGTTCAACTCTGTGAGTTGAATGCACACATCACAAGGAAGTTTCTCAGAATGCTTCTGTCTAGTTTTTATGTGAAGATATTCCCATTTCCAATGAAGCCCTCAAAGCAGTCCAAATAAACACTTGCAGATTCTACAAAAAGAGTGTTTCAAAACTTCTGTTTGAAAAGAAAGGTTCAACTCTGTGAGTTGAATGCAAACATCACAAAGAAGTTTCTGAGAATGCTTCAGTCTTGTTTTTATATTAAGATATTTCCGTTGCTAACGAATACCTCCAAGCAGTCAAAATATCCACTTGCAGATTCTACAAAAAGAGTGTTTCAAAACTGCTCTATCCAAAGAAAGGTTAAACTCCATGGGTTGAATGCAAACATCACAAACTAGTTTCTGAAAGTGCTTCTTTCTAGTTTTTTATTTAAAGAAATTACCTTTTCTACAGAGGCCTCAAAAGGTTCCAAATATCCACTTTCAGATTCCACAAAAAGAGTGTTTCAAATCTGCTCTACAAAAGTAGGGTTCAACTCTGTGAGTTGAATGCACACATCACAAAGTAGTTTCTGAGAATCCTTCTGTCTAGTGTTTATGTGAAGCTATTCCCGTTTCCAATGAAGGCCTCACAGCATTTCAAATATCCACTTTCAGATCATACAAAAAGTGTGTTTGGAAACTGCTCTATCAAAAGGAAGGTGTAACTCTGTCAGTTGAATGCACACATCAGAAAAAAGTTTCTGAGAATGCTTCTGTCTAGTTTTTCTGTGAAGATATTCCCGTTTCCAAAGAAGGCCTCAAGGCAGTCCAAATATCCACTTGCAGATTCTACAAAAGGAGGGTTTCAAAACTGCTCTATCAAAAGAAAGATTAAACTCTGTGAGCTGAATGCACCCAAAACAAAGCAGTTTCTGAGAATGTTTCTTTCTAGTTTTTATGTGAAGATATTCCCATTTCCAACGAAGGTTCCAAAATACTCCAGATATCCACTTGCAGATCCTACAATAAGAGTTTTTCAAAACTGCTCTATCAAAAGGAAGGTTCAACCCTGTGAGTTGAATTCACACATCACAAAGAAGTTTCTGAGAATGCAACTGTCTAGTTTTTATGTGAAGATATAGCCGTTTCTAATGAAGACTTCAAAGTACTCCAATTAACCACTTGCAGATTCTACAAAAAGAGTGTTTCAAAACTGCTCTATGAAAAGGAATGTTCAACTCCGTGACTTGAATGCACACATCACAAAAAAGTTTCTGAGAATGCTTCTGTCTAGTTTTTATGTGAAGATATTCCCATTACCAAAGAAGGCCTCAAAGCAGTACAAATATCCACTTGCAGATTCAATAGAAAGAGTGTTTCAAAACTGCTCTATCAAAACAATGGTTCAACTCTGTGAGTCGAATGCAGACATCACAAAGTAGTTTCTGAGAATGCTTCTGTCTCGTTTTTATGTGAAGATATTTCTTTTTCCACCATAGTCCTCAAAGTTCTCCCAATGTCAACTTGCGGATTCTACAAAAACTGTGTTACAAAACTGTTATATCAAAAGAAAGGTTCCATTCTGTAAGTTGAATGCACACACCACAAAGATGTTTCTCAGAATGCTTTTGTCTAGTTTTTATGTGAATATATTCCAGTTTCCAATGAAGACTTCAAAGGAATAGAATTTTCCACTTGCAGATTCTGCAAAAAGAGGGTTTCAAAACTACTTTATCAAAAGAAAATTTAAGGGGGAGAGGAGCCAAGATGGCTGAATAGGAACAGCTCCGGTCTACAGCTTCCAGCCTGAGCGACACAGAAGACCAGTGATTTCTGCATTTCTATCTGAGGTGCCGGGTTCATCTCACTAGGGAGTCCCAGACAGTGGGCGCAGGTCAGTGGGTGCATACACCATGCAGGAGTCGAAGCAGGGCGTGTCATTGCCTCACTCGGGAAGCGCAGGGGTTCAGGGAGTTACTTTTCCTAGTCAAAGAAAGGGATGACAGAGGGCACCTGGAAGATTGGGTCACTCCCACCGTAATACAGAGCTTTTCCGATGGGCTTAAAAAACGGCACACCAGGAGATTGTGTCCCACACCTGGCTCAGAAGGTCCTATGCCCAGGGAGTCTACCTGATTGCTAGCACAGCAGTCTTAGATCAAACTGCAAGGCGGCAGCGAGGCTGGGGGAGGGGCGCCCACCATTGCCCAGGCTTGCTTAGGTAAACAAAGCAGCCAGGAAGCTGGAACAGGGTGGAGCCCACCACAGCTCCAGGAGGTCTGCCTGCCTCTGTAGGCTCCACCTCTGGGGGCAGGGCACAGACAAACAAAAAGACAGCAGTAACCTCTGCAGACTTAAGTGTCCCTGTCTGAAAGCTTTGAAGAGAGCAGTGGTTCTCCCAGCACAGAGCTGGAGATCAGAGGACCAGCAGACTGCCTCCTCAAGTGGGTCCCTGACCCCTGACCCCCCAGAAGCCTAACTGGGAGGCACTTCCTAGCAGGGGCAGACTGACACCTCACACGGCCAGGTACTCCAACAGACCTGCAGCTGAGGGTCCTGTCTGTTAGAAGGAAAACTAACAAACAGAAAGCACATCCACACCAAAAACCCATCTGTACATCACCATCGTCAAAGACCAAAAGTAGATAATACCACAAGGATGGGGAGAAAACAGAGCAGAAAAACTGGAAACTCTAAAAAGCAGAGCGCCTCTCCTCCTCCAAAGGAACGCAGTTCCTCACCAGCAATGGGACAAAGCTGGATGGAGAATGACTTTGACGAGTTGCAAGAAGAAGGCTTCAGACGATCAAATTATTCCAAGCTATGAGGGGACATTCAAACCAAAGGCAAAGAAGTTGAAAACTTTGAAAAAAATTTAGAAGAATGTATAACTAGAATAACCAATACAGAGAGGTGCTTAAAGGAGCTGATGCAGCTGAAAACCAAGGCTTGAGAACTACGTGAAGAATGCAGAAGCCTCAGGAGCTGATGCCATCAACTGGAACAAAAGGTATCAGTGATGGAAGAGGAAATGAATGAAATGAAGTGAGAAGGGAAGTTTAGAGAAAAAAGAATAAAAAGAAATGAGCAAAGTCTCCAAGAAATATGGGACTATGTGAGAAGACCAAATCTACGTCTGATTGGTGTACCTGAAAGTGATGGGGAGAATGGAACCAAGTTGGAAAACACTCTGCAGGATATTATCCAGGAGAACTGCCCCAATCTACCAAAGCAGGCCAACATTCAGATTCAGTAAATACAGAGAATACCCCAAAGATACTCCTCGAGAAGAGCAACTCCGAGACACATAATTGTCAGATTCACCAAAGTTGAAATGAAGGAAAAAATGTTAAGGGCAGCCAGAGAGAAAGGTCGGGTTACCCTCACGAAGGGAAGCCCATCAGACTAACAGCGGATCTCTCGGCAGAAACTCTACAAGCCAGAAGACAGTGGGGGCCAATATTCAACATTCTTAAAGAAAAGAATTTTCAACCCAGAATTTCATATCCAGCCAAACTAAGCTTCATAAGTGAAGGAGAAATAAAATACCTTACAGACAAGCAAATGCTGAGAGATTTTGTCACCACCAGGCCTGCCCTAAAAGAGCTCCTGAAGGAAGCACTAAACATGGAAAGGAACAACTGGTATCAGCCACTGCAAAATCATACCAAAATGTAAAGACCATTGAGACTAGGAAGAAACTGCATCAACTAACGAGCAAAATCACCAGCTAACATCATAATGACAGGATCAAATTCACACATAACAGTGTTAACTTTAAATGTAAATGGACTAAATGCTCCAATTAAAAGACACAGACTGGCAAGTTGGATAAAGAGTCAAGACCCATCAGTGTGCTGTATTCAGGAAACCCATCTCACATGCAGAGACACACATAGGCTCCAAATAAAGGGATGGAGGAAGATCTACCAAGCAAATGGAAAACAAAAAAAGGCAGGGGTTGCAATCCTAGTCTCTGATAAAACAGACTTTAAACCAACAAAGATCAAAAGAGACAAAGAAGGCCATTACATAATGGTAAAGGGATCAATTCAACAAAAAGAGCTAACTATCTTAAATATATATGCACCCAATACAGGAGCACCCAAACTCATAAAGCAAGTCCCGAGTGACCTACAAAGAGACTTAGACTCCCACACATTAATAATGGGAGAATTTAACACCCCACTGTCAACTTCAGACAGATCAACAAGACAGAAATTCAACAAGGATACCCAGGAATTGAACTCATCTCTGCACCAAACGGACCTAATAGACATCTACAGAACTCTCCACCACAAATCAACAGAATATACATTTTTTTCAGCACCACACCACACCTATTCCAAAATTGACCACATACTTGGAAGTAAAGCTCTCCTCAGCAAATGGAAAAGGACAGAAATTATAACAAACTATCTCTCAGACCACAGTGCAATCAAACTAGAACTCAGGATTAAGAATCTCAGTCAAAACCGCTCAACTACATGGAAACTGAACAACCTGCTCCTGAATGACTACTGGGTACATAACGAAATGAAGGCAGAAATAAAGACATTCTTTGAAACCAATGAGAACAAAGACACAACATACCAGAATCTCTGGGATGCATTCAAAGCAGTGTGTAGAGGGAAATTTATAGCACTAAATGCCCACAAGAGAAAGCAGGAAAGATCCAAAATTGACACCCGAACATCACAATTAAAAGAACTAGAAAAGCAAGAGCAAACACATTCAAAAGCTAGCAGAAGGCAAGAAATAACTAAAATCAGAGCAGAACTGAAGGAAATAGAGACACAAAAAAACCCTTCAAAAAATTAACGAATCCAGGAGCTGTTTTTATGAAAGGATCAACAAAGTAGATAGACCGCTAGCAAGACTAATAAGGAAGAAAAAAGAAAAGAATCAAATAGACACAATAAAAACTGATAAAGGGGATATCACCACCAATCACACAGAAATACAAACTACCATCAGAGAATACTATAAACACCTCTACACAAATAAACTAGAAAATCTAGAAGAAATGGATACATTCCTCGACACATACACTCTCCCAAGACTAAATCAGGAAGAAGTTGAATCTCTGAATAGACCAATAACAGGATCTGAAATTGTGGCAATAATCAATAGCTTACCAACCAAAAAGAGTCCAGGACCAGATGGATTTACAGCCGAATTCTACCAGAGGTACAAGGAGGAACTGGTACCATTCCTTCTGAAACTATTCCAATCAATAAAAAAGAGGGAATCCTCCCTAACTCATTTTATGAGGCCAGCATCATCCTGATACCAAAGCCGGGTAGAGACACAATGAAAAAAGAGAATTTTAGACCAATATCCTTGATGAACATTGATGCAAAAATCCTCAATAAAATACTGGCAAAACGAATCCAGCAGCACATCAAAAAGCTTATCCACCATGATCAAGTGGGCTTCATCCCTGGGATGCAAGGCTGGTTCAATATATGAAAATCAATACATCTAATCCAGCATATAAACAGAACCAAAGAAAAAAACCACATGATTATCTCAATAGATGCAGAAAAGGCCTTTGACAAAATTGAACAACCCTTCATGCTAAAAACTCTCAGTAAATTAGGTATTGATGACATGTATCTCAAAATAATAAGAGCTATCTATGACAAACCCAGAGCCAATATCATACTGAATGGGCAAAAACTGGAATCATTCCCTTTGAAAACCGGCACAAGACAGGTATGCCCTCTCTCACCACTCTTATTCAACAAAGTGTTGGAAGTTCTGGCCAGGGCAATTAGGCAGCAGAAGGAAATAAAGGGTATTCAATTAGGAAAGAGGAAGTCAAATTGTGCCTGTTTGCAGAAGACATGATTGTATATCTAGAAAATCCCATTGTCTCAGTCAAAAATCTCCTTCAGCTGACAAGCAACTTCAGCAAAGTCTCAGGATACAAAATCAATGTATAAAAATCACAAGCATTCTTATACACCAACAACAGACAGAGAGCCAAATCATGACTGAACTCCCATTCACAATTGCTTCAAAGAGAATAAAATACCTAGGAATCCAACTTACAAGGGATGTGAAGGACCTCTTCAAGGAGAACTACAAACCTCTGCTCAGTGAAATAAAAGAGGATACAAACAAATGGAAGAACATTCCATGCTCATGGGTAGGAAGAATCAATATCATGAAAATGGCCATACTGCCCAAGGTAATTTACAGATTCAATGCCATCCCCATCAAGCTACCAATGCCTTCACAGAATTGGAAAAAACTACTTTAAAGTTCATATGGAACAAAAAAAGAGCCCGCATCACCAAGTCAATCCTAAGCCAAAAGAACAAAGCTGGAGGCATCACGCTACCTGACTTCAAACTATACTACAAGGCTACAGTAACCAAAACAGCATGGTACTGGAACCAAAACAGAGATATAGATCAATAGAACAGAACAGAGCCCTCAGAAATAATGCTGCATATCTACAACTATCTGATCTTTGACAAACCTGAGAAAAACAAGCAATGGGGAAAGGATTCCCTATTTAATAAATGGTGCTGGGAAAACTGGCTAGCCATATGTAGAAAGCTGAAACTGGATCCCCACCTTAAACCTTATACAAAAATTAATTCAAGATGGATTGAAGACTTAAACGTCCGACCTAAAACCATAAAAACCCTAGAAGAAAACCTAGGCATTACCACTCAGGACATAGGCATGGGCAAGGACTTCATGGCTAAAATACCAAAAGCAATGGCAGCAAAAGCCAAAATTGACAAATGGGATCTAATTAAACTAAAGAGCTTCTGCACAGCAAAAGAAACTACCATCAGAGTGAACAGGCAACCTACAAAATATGAGAAAATTTTCGCAACCTACTCATCTGACAAAGGGCTAATGTCCAGAATCTACAATGAACTCAAACAAATTTACAAGAAAAAAACAAACAACGCCATCAAAAACTGGGCAAAAGACATGAACAGACACTTCTCAAAAGAAGACAGTTATGCAGCCAAAAAACCACATGAAAAACTGCTCATCATCACTGGTCATCAGAGAAATGCAAATCAAACCACAATGAGATACCATATCACACCAGTTAGAATGGCAATCAGTAAAAAGACAGGAAACAACAGATGCTGGAGAGGATGTGGAGAAATAGGAACACTTTTACACTGTTGGTGGGACTGTCAACTAGTTCAACCATTGTGGAAGTCAGTGTGGCGATTCCTCAGGGATCTAGAACTAGAAATACCATTTGACCCAGCCATCCCATTACTGGGTAATACCCAAAAGACTATAAATCATGCTGCTATAAAGACACATGGAAACGTATGTTTATTGTGACATTATTCACAATAGCAAAGACTTGGAACCCACCCAAATGTCCAAAAATGATAGACTGAATGAAGAAAATGTGGCACATATACACCATGGAATACTATGCAGCCATAAAAAATGATGAGTTCATGTCCTTTGTAGGGACATGGATGAAATTGGAAATCATCATTCTCAGTAAACTATCACAAGAACAAAAAACCAAACACTACATATTCTCACTCATAGGTGGGAATTGAACAATGAGAACACGTGGACACAGGAAAAGGAACATCACACTCTGGGGACTGTTGTGGGGTGGGGGGAGGGGGAGGGATAGCATTGGGAGATACACCTAATGCTAGATGACGAGTTAGTGGGTGCAGCACACCAGCATGGCACATGTATACATACGTAACTAACCTGCATATTGTGCACATGTACCCTAAAACTTAAAGTATATTAATTATAAATAAAAAAAAAAAAAGAAAAGTTAAATTCTGTGAGTTGTAAGCACACATCACAAAGAAGTCTCTGAGAATGCTTCTGTCTAGTTTTTGTATGAAGATATTTCCTTTTCTACCATAGGCCTCAAATCAGTCCAAAAATCAATTGCAGATTATACAAAAAGAGTGTTTCAAAACTGCTCTATAAAATGGAATGTTAAATTCTGTGAGTTGAATACTCACATCACAAAGTAGTTTCTGAGAATGCTTCTGTCTAGTTTTTATGTGAAGATATTCCCGTTTCCAATGAAGGCCTCAAAGCAGTCCAAATATCCACTAGCAGAGTCTACAAAAAGAGTGTTTCAAAACTTCCCTTTGAAAAGAAAGTTCAACACTGTGAGTTGAATGCGCACATCACAAAGAAGTTTCTGAGAATGCCTCAGTCTGCTATTCATGTGAAGAAATTCCCGTTTCCAACGATTTCCTCAAAGCAGTCAAAATATCCACTTGCAGACTATACCAAAAGAGGGTTTCAAAATTGTTCTATCAAAAGAAAGTTTAAACTCCGTGAGTTGAATGCACACATCACAAACTAGTTTCTGAGAATGCTTCTTTCTAGTTTTTATTTAAAGAAATTACATTTTCTACCAGAGGCCTCAAAGTGCTCCAAATATCCACTTGCGGATTCTACAAAAACAGTGTTTCAAATCTGCTCTGCCAGAAGGAGGGTTCAACTCTGAGTTGAATGCACACGTCACAGAGCAGTTTCTGAGAATCCTTCTGTCTAGTTTTTATGTGAAGATATTCCAGTTTCCAACGAAGGCTTCAAAGCACTCCAAATATCCATTTGCATATTCTATAAAAAGAGTGTTTCAAAACTGCACTATCAAAAGGAAGGTTCATCTCTGTGAGTTGAATGCACACATCAGAAAGAAGTTTCTGAGAATGATTCTATCTAGTTTTTATGTGGAGATATTCCCATTTCCAACAAAGGCTTCAAACCACTCCAAATATCCACTTGCAGATTCTACAAAAAGAGTGTTTCAAAACTGCTCTATCAAAAGGAAGGTTCATCTCTGTGAGTTGAAGGCAGAAATCACAAAAAAGTTTCTGAGAATGCATCTGTCTAGTTTTTATGTGAAGATATACCTGTATCCAATGAAGACTTCAAAGTACTCAGATTATCCACTTGCAGATTCTACGAAAAGAGTGTTTCAAAACTGTACTATCAAAAGGAAGTTTCAATTCTGTGAGTTGAATGCATACATTACAAGGAACTTTCTGAGAATTGTTCTGTCCAGTTTTTATGTGAATATATTCCCGTCTCCAACGTAGGCTTCAAAGCACTCAAAATATCCACTTGCAGATACTACAAAAAGATTGTTTCAAAACTGCACTATCAAAATGAAGGTTCAACTCTGTGAATTGAATGCACATATCTAAAAAAAGTTTCTGAGAATACTTCTGTCTAGTTTTTATATGAAGATATTACTGTTTCCAACGAAGGCCTCAAAGCGGTCCAAATATCCACTTGCAGATTCTACAAAAAGACTGTTTCAAAACTGCTATATCAAAAGAAATGTTCAACTCTCTGAATTGAATGCAAACATCACAAAGAAGTTTCTGAGAATACTTCTGTCTGGTTTTTATGTGAAGATATTCCCGTTTCCAATGAGGGCCTAAAAGCAGTTGAAATATCCACTTGCAGATTAAACAAAAAGTGTGTTTCAAAACTGCTCTCTGAAAAGGAAGTTTCAACTCGGTGAGTTCAATGCACTCATGACGAATAAGTTTCTGAGAATGATTCTGTCTAGTTTTTCTGTGAAGATATTCCCGATTCCAACGAAGGCTTCAAAGCAGTCCAAATATCCACTTGCAAATTCTACAAATAGTGTATTTCAAAACTGCTCTATTAAAAGGAAGGTTCAAATCTCTGAGTTGAATACACACTTCACAAAGAAGTTTCAGACAATGCTTCTCTCTAGTTTTTATGTGAAGATATTCCCGTTTCCAATGAAGGCCTCAAAGCAGTCCAAATATCCACTTACAGATCATACGAAAAGAGTGTTTCAAAACTGCTGTATCAAAAGAAAGGTTCAAATCTAAGTGTTGAATGCAGACATCACAAAGAAGTTTCTGAGAATGCTTCTGTCTAGTTTATAGGTGAAGATATTCCCGTTTACACCAAAGGCTTCAAAGCACTCCAATTATCCACTTGCAAATTCTACAAAAAGAGTGTTTCAAAACGACTCTATCAAAAGGAAGGCTCAATTCTGCAAGTTGAAAGCACACATCACAAAGATGTTTCTGTGAATGCTTCTGTCTAGTTTTTATGTGAAGATATTCCCGATTCCAGTGAAGGCTTCAAGGCACTCCAATTATCCACTTGTATATTCTACAAAAAGAGGGTTATGAAACTACTCTATCAAAAGAAAAGTTAAATTCTGTGAGTTGTAAGCACACATCACTAAGTAGTTTCTGAGAATGCTTCTGTCTAGTTTTTGTATGAGGATATTCCCTTTTCTACCATAGGCCTCAAATCGCTCCAAATATCCAATTGCAGATTCCACAAAAAGAGTGTTCAAAACTGCTCTATCAAAAGGAAGGTTAAATTCTGTGACTTGAATACTCACATCACAAAGTAGTTTCTGAGAATGTTTCAGTCTAGTTTTTATGTGGAGATATTCCCGTTTCCAATGAAGGCCTCAAAGCAGTCCAAATATCCACTTACAGATTCTACAAAAAGAGTGTTTCAAAACTTCCTTTGAAAAGAAAGGTTCAACTCTGTGAGTTGAATGCAAACACCACAAAGAAGTTTCTGAGAATGCCTGAGTCTGGTTTTTATGTGAAGATATTCCCGTTTCCAGTGAATTCCTCAAAGCAGTCAAAATATCCACTTGCAAATTATACAAAAAGAGGGATTCAAAACTGCTCTATCAAAAGGAAGGTTCAACTCTGTGAGTTGAAAGCACAAATCACAACGAAGTTTCTGAGAATGCATCTGTCTAGTTTCATGTGAAGATATATCTGTATCCAATGAAGACTTCAAAGTACTCCAATTAACCACTTGCAGATTCTACAAAGAGTGTTTCAAAACTGCACTATCAAAAGGAAGGTTCAATTCTGTCAGTTGAATGCATACACTACAAGGAACTTTCTGAGAATGTTTCTGTCTAGTTTTTATGTGAATAGGTTTCCGTTTCCAACGAAGGCTTCAAAGCACTCCAAATATCCACTTCCAGATACTGCAAAAAGAGTGCTTCAAAACTGCACTATCAAAATGAAGGTACAAGGCTCTGACTTGAATGCCCATATCTCAAAGTGGTTTCTGAGAATGCTTTTGTCTACTTTTTATGTGAACATATTACTGTTTCCAACGAAGGCCTCAAATCTGTCCAAATATACAGTTGCAGATACTACAAAAAGAGTGTTTCAAAACTACTCTATCAAAAGGAAGGATCACCCCTGTGAGTTGAATGCACACATCACAGAGAAGTTCCTGAGAATGCTTCTGTCTAGTGTTTATATGAAGTTATTTGGATTTCCAATGAAGGCCTCAAATCAGTAGAAATATCCACCTGCATATTCTTCAAAAGTAGTGTTTCAAAACTGCCCTATCAAAAGGAAGGTTCAACTCTGTGGGTTGAATGCACACATCACCAAGAAGTTTCTGAGAATGCTTTTGTCTTGTATTAATGTGAAGATATTTCCTTTTTCACCATAGCCCTCCAAGTGCTCCAAATGTCCACTTGCAGATTCTACAACAAGAGTGTCTCAAAAATACTCTATCAAAAGAAAAGTTGAACAGTCTGAGTTGAATGCACACATCACAAAGTTGTTTCTGAGAATGCTTCTGTCTACTATTTATATGAAGATATTTCTTTTTCTACCATAGGCCTCAAAGCACTCCAAATATCCACTTGCAGATACTCCAAAAACAGTGTTTCAAAACTGCTCCAGAAAAAGGAAGGTTCAACTCTGTGAGATGAATGGACAGATGACAAAGAAGTTTCTGAGAATGCTTCTCCCTAGTGTTTATGTGAAGATATTCCCGTTTCCGATGAAGGCCTCAAAGCAGTCCAAATATCCACTTGCAGATTCTACAAAAACAGTGTTTCAAAACTACTCTACGGAAAGGTATGTTCAACACTGTGAGATGAATGCAAACGTCACAAAGAAGTTGCTGAGAATGCTTCAGTCTAGTTTCTATGTGAAGATATTTCCTTTTCGACTACAGCCCTCAAAGCACTCCAAATGTCTACTTGCAGATTCGATAAAAGAGTTCTTAAAAACTGCTCTATCAAAAGAAAGCTTCAACACTGTGAGTTGAATCTACATATAACAAAAAAGTTTCTGAGAATGCCTCTATCTACTTTTTATGTGAAGATATTCCGGTTTCCAACGAAGGTCTCAAAGTGCTCCAAATATCTACTTGCAGATTCTACAAAAAGAGTGTTTCAAAACTGCTCTATTAAAGCAAGGTTCAACTCTCTCAGTTAAATTCACACATCACAAAGAAGTTTCTGAGAATGCTTCTATCTAGTTTTTATGTGAAGATAGTACTGTTTCCTATGAAGGCCTCAAAGTGGTCCAAATATCCACTTGCAGATTCTACAAAAAGAGGATTTCAAAACTGCTCTATGAAGAGGGAGGTTCAACTCTGGTATTTGAATGCAAACATCACAAAGAAGTTTCTGAGAATGCTTCTGTCTAGTTTTGATATGCAGATATTTCTTTCTCTACAATAGGCCTCAAAGCGCTCCAAATATCCACTTGCAGATTCTACAAAAACAGTGTTTCAAAACGGCTCCATAAAAAGGAAGGTTCAACTCTGTGAGTTGAATGGACAGATCACAAAGAAGTTTCTGAGAATGCTTCTGTCTAGTGTTTATGTGAAGATATTCCCGTTTCCAGTGAAGGCCTCAATGCAGTCCAAATATCAAATTGCAGATTCTACAAAAAGAGTGTTTCAAAACTGCTCTATGAAAAGGTATGTTCAACACTGTGAGATGAATGCAAACGTCACAAAGAAGTTGCTGAGAATGCTTCAGTCTAGTTTCTATGGGAAGACTTTTCCTTTTGCACCACAGCCCTCAAAGCACTCCAAATGTCTACTTGCAGATTCGATAAAAGAGTTTTTCAAAACTGCTCTATCAAAAGAAAGGTTCAACGCTGTGAGTTGAATCTACATATGACAAAAAAGTTTCTGAGAATGCCTCTATCAACTTTTTATGTGAAGACATTCCGGTTTCCAATGAAGGCCGCAAAGTGCTCCAAATATCTATTGCAGATTCTACAAAAAGAGTGTTTCAAAACTGCTCTATTTAACGAAGGTTCAACTCTGTGAGTTGAATTCACACATCACAAAGATGTTTCTGAGAATGCTTCCATCTAGTTTTTATGTGAGGATATTACTGTTTTCTATGAAGGCCTCAAAGTGGTCCAAATATCCACTTGCAGATTCTACAAAAAGAGGTTTTCAAAACTGCTCTATGAAGAGGTATGTTCAACTCTGTGAGTTGAATGCAAACATCACAAAGCAGTTTCTGAGAATGCTTCTGTCTAGTTTTTAGGTGAAGACTTTTCCATTTGTACAAAGCCCTCAAAGCGCTCCAAATATCCACTGGCAGATTCTACAAAAAGAGTGTTTCAAAACTGCTCTGTCACAAGAAATGTTCAACTCTGTTAGTTGAATGCCCACATCACAAAGAAGATTCTGAGAATATTACTGTCTAGTTTTTATTAGAAGATATTCCCGTTTCCACCAAAGGACTCAAAGTGCCCCAAATATCCACTTGCAGATCTTACAGAAACACGTTTCAAAACTGCTCTATCAAAGGAAAGGTTCATCTCTCTGGGTTCAATGCACACATCACAAAAAAGTTTCTGAGAATGCTTCTGGCTAGTTTGTATGTGAAGATATTCCCACTTCCAACAAAGGCTTCAAGGCGCTCCAAATATTCACCTGCAATTGTACAAAAGTGAGTTTCAAAACTGTTCTGTCAAAAGTAAGGTTCAACTCTGTGAGTTGAATGCACACTTCAAATAGGTGTTTCTGAGAATGCTTCTTTCTAGTTTTTCTGTGAAGATATTTCCTTCTCCACCATAGCCCTCAATGCGCTCCAAATGTCCACTGGCAGATTCCACAGAAACAGTGTTTCAAAACTGCTCTAACAAAAGAAAGGTCCAACTCCGTGATTTGAATGCACACGTCACAAAGCAGTTTCTGTGAATCCTTCTGTCTAGTTTTTATATGAGGAGATTTCCTTTTCTACCACGGGCATCAAAGCGTTCCAAATATCCAATTGTAGATTGTACAAAAGGAGTGTTTCAAAAATGCTTTATGAAAAGGAAGGTTCAACTTTGGGAGTAGAATGCACACATCACGAAGAAGTTTCTGAGAATGCTTCTGTCCAGTTTATATGTGAAGATATTCCCATTTCCAGCGAAGGTCTCAAAGCGGTCCAAATATCCACTTGCGGATTCCACAAAAAGAGTGTTTCAAAACTGCTCTATGGAAAGGTATGTTCAACTCTGTGAGTTTAATGCAAACATCATAAAGAAGTTTCAGAGAATGCTTCTGTCTAGTTTAATGTGAATATATTTTCTTTTCTACCATAGCCCTCAAAGAGCTCCAAATATCCACTTTCAGATTCTACAGAGTGTTTCAAAACTGCTCTATCAAAAAAAAGGTTCAACTCTGTGAGTTGAATGCACATAACACAAAGTAGTTTCTGGGAATGCTTTTGTCTATTTTTCACAGGAAGATATTTCCTTTTTGACCATAGGACTCAAAAATCGCTCCAGATATCCACATGCAGATTCTACAAAAAGAGTGTTTCAAAACTGCTTTATCAAAAGGAAGGTTCAATTCTGGTTGTTGAATGCAAACATCACAAAGAAGTTTCTGAGAATGCTTCTGTCTAGTTTTTATATGCAGATATTTCTTTTTCTACCATAGGCCTCAAAGCGCTCCAAATATCCACTTGCAGATTCTACAAAAACAGTGCTTCAAAACGGCTCCATAAAAAGGAAGGTTCAACTGTGTGAGTTGAATGGACAGATCACAGAGAAGTTTCTGAGAATGCTTCTGTCTATTGTTTATGTGAAGATATTCCCGTTTCCAGTGGAGGCCTCAACGCAGTCCAAATATCCAATTGCAGTTTCTACAAAAAGAATGTTTCAAAACTGCTCTAAGAAAAGGTATGTTCAACAGTGTGAGATGAATGCAAACGACACGAAGAAGTTGCTGAGAATGCTTCAGTATAGTTTCCATGTGAAGACATTTCCTTTTGCACCACAGCCCTCAAAGCACTCCAAATGTCTACTTGCAGACTCGATAAAAGAGTTTTTCAAAACTGCTCTATCAAAAGAAATGTTCAACTCTGTGAGTTGAATCTATATATCACAAAAAAGTTTCTGAGAATGCCTCTATCTACTTTTTATGTGAAGACATTCCGTTTTCCAACGAAGGCCTCAAAGCGCTCCAAATATCTATTGCAGATTCTACAAAAAGAGTGTTTCAAAACTGCTCTATTTATCGAAGGTTCAACTCTGTGAGTTGAATTCACACATCACAAAGAAGTTTCCGAGAATGCTTCCATCTAGTTTTTATGTGAAGATATTACTGTTTTCTATGAAGGCCTCAAAGTGGTCCGAATATCCAATTGCAGATTCTACAGAAAGAGGATTTCAAAACTACTCTATGAAGAGGTATGTTCAACTCTGTGAGTTGAATGCAAACATCACAAAGCAGTTTCTGAGAATGCTTCTGTCTAGTTTTTAGGTGAAGACTTTTCCATTTGTACAATAGCCCTGAAAGCGCTCCAAATATCCACTGGCAGATTCTACAAAAAGAGTGTTTCAAAACTGCTCTGTCACAAGAAATGTTCAACTGTGTTAGTTGAATGCCCACATCACAAAGAAGATTATGAGAATATTTCTGTCTAGTTTTTATTAGAAGATATTCCCGTTTCCACAAAAGGACTCAAAGCGCCCCAAATATCCATTTGCAGATCTTACAGAAACACGTTTCAAAACTGCTCTATCAAAGGAAAGGTTCATCTCTCTGGGTTCAATGCACACATCACAAAGAAGTTTCTGAGAATGCTTCTGGCTAGTTTGTATGTGAAGATATTCCCACTTCCAACAAAGGCTTCAAGGCGCTCCAAATATTCACCTGCAATTGTACAAAAGTGTGTTTCAAAACTGTTCTGTCAAAAGTAAGGTTCAACTCTGTGTGTTGAATGCACACTTCACATAGATGTTTCTGAGAATGCTTCTTTCTAGTTTTTCTGTGAAGATATTTCCTTCTCCACCATAGCCCTCAATGCGCTCCAAATGTCCACTGGCAGATTCCACAGAAACAGTGTTTCAAAACTGCTCTAACAAAAGAAAGGTCCAACTCCGTGATTTGAATGCACACATCACAAAGCAGTTTCTGTGAATCCTTCTGTCTAGTTTTTATATGAGGAGATTTCCTTTTCTTCCACGGGCATCAAAGCGTTCCAATTATCCAATTGTAGATTGTACAAAAGGAGTGTTTCAAAACTGCTTTATGAAAAGGAAGGTTCAACTTTGGGAGTAGAATGCACACATCACGAAGAAGTTTCTGAGAATGCTTCTGTCCAGTTTATATGTGAAAATATTCCCATTTCCAGCGAAGGTCTCAAAGCGGTACAAATATCCACTTACGGATTCCACAAAAAGAGTGTTTCAAAACTGCTCTATGGAAAGGTATGTTCAACTCTGTGAGTTTAATGCAAACATCATAAAGAAGTTTCTGAGAATGCTTCTGTCTAGTTTAATGTGAATATATTTTCTTTTCTACCATAGCCCTCAAAGAGCTCCAAATATCCACTTTCAGATTCTACAGAGTGTTTCAAAACTGCTCTATCAAAAAAAAGTTTCAACTCTTTGAGTGGAATGCACATAACACAAAGTAGTTTCTGAGAATGCTTTTGTTTATTTTTCATAGGAAGATATTTCCTTTTTGACCACAGGCCTCAAAAATCGCTCCAGATATCCACATGCAGATTCTACAAAAAGAGTGTTTCAAAACTGCTCTATCAAGAGGAAGGTTCAACTCTGGTAGTTGAATGCAAACATCACAAAGAAGTTTCTGAGAATGCCTCTGTCTAGTTTTGATATGCAGATATTTCTTTTTCTACCTTAGGCCTCAAAGCGCTCCAAATATCCACTTGCAGATTCTACAAAAACAGTGTTTCAAAACGGCTCCATAAAAAGGAAGGTTCAACTGTGTGAGTTGAATGGACAGATCACAAAGAAGTTTCTGAGAATGCTTCTGTCTAGTGTTTATGTGAAGATATTCCCGTTTCCAGTGGAGGCCTCAACGCAGTCCAAATATCCAATTGCAGATTCTACAAAAAGAGTGTTTCAAAACTGCTCTATGAAAAGGTATGTTCAACACTGTGAGATGAATGCAAACGACACAAAGAAGTTGTTGAGAATGCTTCAGTCTAGTTTCTATGGGAAGATATTTCCTTTTCGACCACAGCCCTCAAAGCACTCCAAATGTCTACTTACAGATTCGATAAAAGAGTTTTTCAAAACAGCTCAATCAAAAGAAAGGTTCAACGCTGTCAGTTGAATCTACATATCACAAAAAAGTTTCTGAGAATGCCTCTATCTACTTTTTATGTGAAGACATTCCGGTTTCCAACGAAGGCCTCAAAGCGCTCCAAATATCTATTGCAGATTCTACAAAAAGAGTGTTTCAAAACTGCTCTATTTAACGAAGGTTCAACTCTGTGAGTTGAATTCACACATCACTAAGAAGTTTCCGAGAATGCTTCCATCTAGTCTTTATGTGAAGATATTACTGTTTTCTATGAAGGCCTCAAAGTGGTCTAAATATCCACTTGCAGATTCTACAAAAAGAGGTTTTCAAAACTGCTCTATGAAGAGGTATGTTCAACTCTGTGAGTTGAATGCAAACATCACAAAGCAGTTTCTGAGAATGCTTCTGTCTAGTTTTTAGGTGAAGACTTTTCCATTTGTACAAAGCCCTCAAAGCGCTCCAAATATCCACTGGCAGATTCTACAAAAAGAGTGTTTCAAAACTGCTCTGTCACAAGAAATGTTCAACTGTGTTAGTTGAATGCCCACATCACAAAGAAGATTCTGAGAATATTTCTGTCTAGTTTTTATTAGAAGATATTCCCGTTTCCACCTAAGGACTCAAAGCGTCCCAAATATCCACTTGCAGATCTTACAGAAACACGTTTCAAAACTGCTCTATCAAAGGAATGGTTCATCTCTCTGGGTTCAATGCACACATCACAAAGAAGTTTCTGAGAATGCTTCTGGCTAGTTTGTATGTGAAGATATTCCCACTTCCAAAAAAGGCTTCAAGGCGCTCCAAATATTCACCTGCAATTGTACAAAAGTGTGTTTCAAAACTGTTCTGTCAAAAGGAAGGTTCAACTCTGTGAGTTGAATGCACACTTCACAGAGATGTTTCTGAGAATGCTTCTTTCTAGTTTTTCTGTGAAGATATTTCCTTCTCCACCATAGCCCTCAATGCGCTCCAAATGTCCGCTGGCAGATTCCACAGAAACAGTGTTTCAAAACTGCTCTAACAAAAGAAAGGTCCAACTCCGTGATTTGAATGCACACATCACAAAGCAGTTTCTGTGAATCCTTCTGTCTAGTTTTTATATGAGGAGATTTCCTTTTCTACCACGGGCATCAAAGCGTTCCAAATATCCAATTGTAGATTGTACAAAAGGAGTGTTTCAAAACTGCTTTATGAAAAGGAAGGTTCAACTCTGTGAGTTGAATGCACACATCACGTAGCAGTTTCTGAGAATGGTTCTGTCTAGTTTATATGTGAAGACATTCCCATTTCCAGCGAAGGTCTCAAAGCGGTCCAAATATCCGCTTGCGGATTCCACAAAAAGAGTGTTTCAAAACTGCTCTATGGAAAGGTATGTTCAACTCTGTGAGTTTAATGCAAACATCATAAAGAAGTTTCTGAGAATGCTTCTGGCTAGTTTAATGTGAATATATTTTCTTTTCCACCATAGCCCTCAAAGAGCTCCAAATATCCACTTTCAGATTCTACAGAGTGTTTCAAAACTGCTCTATCAAAAAAAAGGTTGTACTCTGTGAGTTGAATGCACATAACACAAAGTAGTTTCTGAGAATGCTTTTGTCTATTTTTCATAGGAAGATATTTCCTTTTGAGACATAGGTCTCAAAAATCGTTCCAGGTATCCACATGCAGATTCTACAAAAAGAGCGTTTCAAAACTGCTCTATCAAAAGGAAGGTTCAACTCTGGTAGTTGAATGCAAACATCACAAAGAAGTTTCTGAGAATGCTTCTGTCTAGTTTTGATATGCAGATATTTCTTTTTCTACCTTAGGCCTCAAAGCGCTCCAAATATCCACTTGCAGATTCTACAAAAACAGTGTTTCAAAACGGCTCCATAAAAAGGAAAGTTCAACTCTGTGTGTTGAATGGACAGATCACAAGGAAGTTTCTGAGAATCCTTCTGTCTAGTTTTTATGTGAAGATATTCCCGTTTCCAGTGAGGGGCTCAACGCAGTCCAAATATCCAATTGCAGATTCTACAAAAATAGTGTTGCAAAACTGCTCTATGAAAAGGTATGTTCAACACTGTGAGATGAATTCAAACGTCACAAAGAAGTTGCTGAGAATGCTTCAGTCTAGTTTCTATGTGAAGATATTTCCTTTTCGACCACAGCCCTCAAAGCACTCCAAATGTCTACTTGCAGACTCGATAAAAGAGTTTTTCAAAACTGCTCTATCAAAAGAAAGGTTCAACGCTGTGAACTGAATCTACATATCACAAAAAAGTTTCTGAGAATGCCTCTATCTACTTTTTATGTGAAGACATTCCGTTTTCCAACGAAGGCCTCAAAGCGCTCCAAATATCTACTTGCAGATTCTACAAAAAGAGTGTTTCAAAACTGCTCTGCTAAAGGAAGGTTCAACTCTGTGAGTTGAATTCACACACCACAAAGAAGTTTCTGAGAATGCTTCCATCTAGTTTATATGTGAAGATATTACTGTTTCCTATGAAGGCCTCAAAGTGGTCAAAATATCCACTTGCAGATTCTACCAAAAGAGGTTTTCAAAACTGCTCTATGAAGAGGTATGTTCAACTCTGTGAGTTGAATGCAAACATCACAACGTAGTTTCTGAGAATGCTTCTGTCTAGTATTTAGGTGAAGATATTTCCATTTGCACAATAGCCCTCAAAGCGCCCCAAATATCAACTGGCAGATTCTACTAAAAGTGTGTTTCAAAACTGCTCTGTCAAAAGAAATGTTCAACTGTGTTAGTTGAATGCCCACATCACAAAGAAGATTCTGAGAATATTTCGGTCTAGTTTTTATTAGAAGACATTCCCGTTTCCACCAAAGGACTCAAAGCGCCCCAAATATCCACTTGCAGATCTTACAAAAACACGTTTCAAAACTGCTCTATCAAAGGAAAGGTTCATCTCTCTGGGTTCAATGCACACATCACAAAGAAGTTTCTGAGAATGCTTCTGGCTAGTTTGTATGTGAAGATATTCCCATTTCCAACAAAGGCTTAAAGGCGCTCCAAATATTCACCTGAAATTGTACAAAAGAATGTTTCAAAACTGTTCTATCAAAAGGAAGGTTCAACTCCGTGAGTTGAATGCACACTTCACATAGATGTTTCTCAGAATGTTTCTTTCTAGTTTTTATGTGAAGATATTTCCTTCTCCACAATTGCCCTCAATGGGCTCCAAATGTCCACTGGCAGATTCCACAGAAACAGCGTTTCAAAACTGCTCTAACAAAAGAAAGGTTCAACTCTGTGATTTGAATGCTGACATCACAAAGCATTTTCTGTGAATCCTTCTGTCTAGTTTTTATATGAGGAGATTTCCTTTTCTACCACGGCCATCAAAGCGTTCCAAATATCCAATTGTAGATTGTACAAAAGGAGTGTTTCAAAACTGCTTTATGAAAAGGAATGTTGAACTTTGGTAGTAGAATGCACACATCACGAAGAAGTTTCTGAGAATGCTTCTGTATAGTTTATATGTGAAGATATTCCCATTTCCAGCGAAGGTCTCAAAGCGGTACAAATATCCACTTGCGGATTCCACAAAAAGAGTGTTTCAAAACTGCTCTATGGAAAGGTATGTTCAACTCTGTGAGTTTAATGCAAACATCATAAAGAAGTTTCTGAGAATGCTTCTGTCTAGTTTAATGTGAATATATTTTCTTTTCCACCATAGCCCTCAAATAGCTCCAAATATCCACTTTCAGTTACTACAGAGCGTTTCAAAACGGCTCTATCAAAAAAAGGGTTCTACTCTGTGAGTTGAATGCACATAACACAAAGTAGTTTCTGAGAATGCTTTTGTCTATTTTTCATAGGAAGATATTTCCTTTTTGGACGTAGGCCTCAAAAATCGCTCCAGATATCCACGTGCAGATTCTACAAAAAGAGCGTTTCAAAACTCCTCTATCAAAAGGAAGGGTCAACTCTGGTAGTTGAATGCAAACATCACAAAGAAGTTTCTGAGAACGCTTCTGTCTAGTTTTTATATGCAGATATTTCTTTTTCTACCTTAGGCCTCAAAGCGCGCCAAATATCCACTTGCAGATTCTACAAAAACAGTGTTTCAAAACGGCTCCATAAAACGGAAGGTTCAACTCTGTGAGTTTAATGGACAGATCACAAGGAAGTTTCTGAGAATACATCTGTCTAGTTTTTACGTGAAGATATTCCCATTTCCAGTGAGGGGCTCAACGCAGTCCAAATATCCAATTGCAGATTCTACAAAAATAGTGTTTCAAAACTGCTCTATGAAAAGGTATGTTCAACACTGTGAGATGAATTCAAACGTCACAAAGAAGTTGCTGAGAATGCTTCAGTCTAGTTTCTATGTGAAGATATTTCCTTTTCGACCACAGCCTTCAAAGCACTCCAAATGTCTACTTGCAGATTCGACAAAAGAATTTTTCAAAACTGCTCTATCAAAAGAAAGGTTCAACGCTGTGAACTGAATCTACATATCACAAAAAAGTTTCTGAGAATGCCTCTATCTACTTTTTATGTGAAGACATTCCCGTTTCCAACGAAGGCCTCAAAGCACTCCAAATATCTACTTGCAGATTCTACAAAAAGAGTGTTTCAAAACTGCTCTGTTAAAGGAAGGTTCAACTCTGTGAGTTGAATTCACACATCACAAAGAAGTTTCTGAGAATGCTTCCATCTAGTTTTTATGTGAAGATATTACTGTTTCCTATGAAGGCCTCAAAGTGGTCCAAATATCCACTTGCAGATTCTACCAAAAGAGGTTTTCAAAAGTGCTCTATGAAGAGGTATGTTCAACTCTGTGAGTTGAATGCAAACATCACAACGTAGTTTCTGAGAATGCTTCTGTCTAGTATTTAGGTGAAGATATTTCCATTTGCACAATAGCCCTCAAAGCGCTCCAAATATCCACTGGCAGATTCTACTAAAAGTGTGTTTCAAAACTGCTCTGTCAAAAGAAATGTTCAACTGTGTTAGTTGAATGCCCACATCACAAAGAAGATTCTGAGAATATTTCGGTCTAGTTTTTATTAGAAGATATTCCCGTTTCCACCAAAGGACTCAAAGCGCCCCAAATATCCACTTGCAGATCTTACAAAAACACGTTTCAAAACTGCTCTATCAAAGGAAAGGTTCATCTCTCTGGGTTCAATGCACACATCAAAAAGAAGTTTCTGAGAATGCTTCTGGCTAGTTTGTATGTGAAGATATTCCCATTTCCAACAAAGGCTTAAAGGCGCTCCAAATATTCACCTGAAATTGTACAAAAGAATGTTTCAAAACTGTTCTATCAAAAGGAAGGTTCAACTCCGTGAGTTGAATGCACACATCACATAGATGTTTCTCAGAATGCTTCTTTCTAGTTTTTATGTAAGATATTTCCTTCTCCACAATTGCCCTCAATGGGCTCCAAATGTCCACTGGCAGATTCCACAGAAACAGCGTTTCAAAACTGCTCTAACAAAAGAAAGGTTCAACTCCGTGATTTGAATGCTGACATCACAAAGCAGTTTCTGTGAATCCTTCTGTCTAGTTTTTATATGAGGAGATTTCCTTTTCTTCCACGGGCATCAAAGCGTTCCAATTATCCAATTGTAGATTGTACAAAAGGAGTGTTTCAAAACTGCTTTATGAAAAGGAATGTTGAACTTTGGTAGTAGAATGCACACATCACGAAGAAGTTTCTGAGAATGCTTCTGTATAGTTTATATGTGAAGATATTCCCATTTCCAGCGAAGGTCTCAAAGCGGTACAAATATCCACTTGCGGATTCCACAAAAAGAGTGTTTCAAAACTGCTCTATGGAAAGGTATGTTCAACTCTGTGAGTTTAATGCAAACATCATAAAGAAGTTTCTGAGAATGCTTCTGTCTAGTTTAATGTGAATATATTTTCTTTTCCACCATAGCCCTCAAATAGCTCCAAATATCCACTTTCAGTTTCTACAGAGCATTTCAAAACGGCTCTATCAAAAAAAAGGTTCTACTCTGTGAGTTGAATGCACATAACACAAAGTAGTTTCTGAGAATGCTTTTGTCTATTTTTCATAGGAAGATATTTCCTTTTTGGACGTAGGCCTCAAAAATCGCTCCAGATATCCACGTGCAGATTCTACAAAAAGAGCGCTTCAAAACTGCTCTATCAAAAGGAAGGTTCAACTCTGGTAGTTGAATGCAAACATCACAAAGAAGTTTCTGAGAACGCTTCTGTCTAGTTTTGATATGCAGATATTTCTTTTTCTACCTTAGGCCTCAAAGCGCTCCAAATATCCACTTGCAGATTCTACAAAAACAGTGTTTCAAAACGGCTCCATAAAACGGAAGGTTCAACTCTGTGAGTTTAATGGACAGATCACAAGGAAGTTTCTGAGAATACAACTGTCTAGTTTTTATGTGAAGATATTCCCGTTTCCAGTGAGGGGCTCAACGCAGTCCAAATATCCAATTGCAGATTCTACAAAAATAGTGTTTCAAAACTGCTCTATGAAAAGGTATGTTCAACACTGTGAGATGAATTCAAACGTCACAAAGAAGTTGCTGAGAATGCTTCAGTCTAGTTTCTATGTGAAGATATTTCCTTTTCGACCACAGCCCTCAAAGAACTCCAAATGTCTACTTGCAGACTCAATAAAAGAGTTTTTCAAAACTGCTCTATCAAAAGAAAGGTTCAACGCTGTGAACTGAATCTACATATCACAAAAAAGTTTCTGAGAATGCCTCTATCTACTTTTTATGTGAAGACATTCCCGTTTCCAACGAAGGCCTCAAAGCGCTCCAAATATCTACTTGCAGATTCTACAAAAAGAGTGTTTCAAAGCTGCTCTGTTAAAGGAAGGTTCAACTCTGTGAGTTGAATTCACACATCACAAAGAAGTTTCTGAGAATGCTTCCATCTAGTTTTATGTGAAGATATTACTGTTTCCTATGAAGGCCTCAAAGTGGTCAAAATATCCACTTGCAGATTCTACCAAAAGAGGTTTTCAAAACTGCTCTATGAAGAGGTATGTTCAACACTGTGAGTTGAATGCAAACATCACAACGTAGTTTCTGAGAATGCTTCTGTCTAGTATTTAGGTGAAGATATTTCCATTTGCACAATAGCCCTCAAAGCGCCCCAAATATCAACTGGCAGATTCTACTAAAAGTGTGTTTCAAAACTGCTCTGTCAAAAGAAATGTTCAACTGTGTTAGTTGAATACCCACATCACAAAGAAGATTCTGAGAATATTTCTGTCTAGTTTTTATTACAAGATATTCACATTTCCACCAGAGGACACAAAGGGAAGCCAATTATCCGCTTGCAGATCTCACAAAAACAGTTTTCAAAACTGTTCTATCAAAGGAAAGGTTCATCTCTCTGGGTTCATCGCACACATCACAAAGAAGTTTCTTAGAATGCTTCTGGCTAGTTTGTGTGTGAAGATATTCCCATTTCCAACAAAGGCTTCAAAGCGCTCCAAAGATTCACCTGCAATTGTTCAAAAGAGTGTTTCAAAACTGTTGTATCAAAAGGAAGGTTCAACTCTGTCAGTTGAATGCACGCTTCACATAAATGTTTCTGAGAATGCTTCTTTCTAGATTTTATGGGAAGATATTTCCTTCTCCACCACAGCCCTGAAAGCGCTCCAAGTGTCCGCTGGCAGATTCCACAGAAACAGTGTTTCAAAACTGCTCTAACAAAAGAAAGATTCAACTCCGTGATTTGAATGCACACATCACAAAGCATTTTCTGTGAATCCTTCTGTCTAGTTTTTATATGAGGATATTTCCTTTTCTACCATGGGCATCAAAGCGTTCCAATTATCCAATTGTGGATTGCACAAACAGAGTGTTTCAAAACTGCTTCATGAAAAGGAAGATTCAAATTCGGGAGGAGAATGCACACATCACGAAGAAGTTTCTGAGAATGCTTCTGTCTAGTTTATATGTGAAGATATTCCCATTTCCAGCAAAGGTCTCAAAGCGGTCCAAATATTCACTAGCGGATCCCACAAACAGAGTGTTTCAAAACTGCTCTACGGAAAGGTATGTTCAACACTGTGAGTTTACTGCAAACATCCTAAAGAGGTTTCTGAGAATGCTCCTCTCTAGTTTAATGTGAATATATTTTCTTTTCCGCCATAGCCCTCAAAGAGCTCCAAATATCCACTTTCAGATTCTACAGAGTGTTTCAAAACTGCTCTATCAAAAAAAAGTTTCAACTCAGTGAGTCGAATGCACATATCACAAAGCAGTTTCTGAGAATGCTTTCGTCTATTTTTCCCAGGAAGATATTTCCTTTTTGACCGTAGGCCTCAAACCGCTCCAGATATCCACATGCAGATTCTACAAAAAGAGTGTTTCCAAACTGCCCTATCAAAAGGAAGGTTCAACTCTGCTAGTTGAATGCAAACATCACAAAGAAGTTTCTCGGAATGCTTCTGTCTGGTGTTTAGTGGCAGATATTTCTTTTTCTACCATAGACCTCAAAACGCTCCAAATATCCACTTGCAGATTCTCCAAAAAGAGTGTTTCAAAACTGCTCCAGAAAAAGGAAGGTTCAACTCTGTGAGTTGAATGGACAGATTACAAAGAAGTTTCTGAGAATGCTTCTCTCTAGTGTTTATGTGAAGATATTCCCGTTTCCGATGAAGGCCTCAAAACAGTCCAAATATCCACTTGCAGATTCTACAAAAACAGTGTTTCAAAAGTACTCGATGGAAAGGTATGTTCAACACTGTGAGATGAATGCAAACGTCACAAAGAAGTTGCTGAGAATGCTTCAGTCTAGTTTCTATGGGAAGACTTTTCCTTTTGCACCACAGCCCTCAAAGCACCCCAAATGTCTACCTGCAGATTCGATAAAAGAGTTTTTCAAAACTGCTCCATCCAAAGAAAGGTTCAACGCTGTGAGTTGAATCTACATATCACAAAAAAGTTTCTGAGAATGCCTCTATCTACTTTTCCTGTGAAGATATTCCGGTTTCCAACGAAGGCCTCAAAGCGCTCCAAATATCTACTTGCAGATTCTAGAAAAAGAGTGTTTCAAAACTGCTCTATTAAAGGAAGGTTCAACTCTGTGAGTTGAATTCACACATCACAAAGAACTTTCTGACAATGCTTCTATCTAGTTTTTATGTGAAGATATTACTGTTTCCTATGAAGGCCTCAAAGTGGTCCGAATATCCACTTGCAGATTCTACAGAAAGAGGTTTTCAAAACTGCTCTATGAAGAGGTATGTTCAACTCTGTGAGTTGAATGCAAACATCACGAAGTAGTTTCTGAGAATGCTTCTGTCTAGTTTTTAGGGGCAGATATTTCCATTGGCACAATAGCCCTCCAAGCGCTCCAAATATCCACTGGCAGATTCTACCAAAAGAGTGTTTCAAAACTGCTCTGTGAAAAGAAATGTTCAACTGTGTTAGTTGAATGCCCACATCACAAAGGAGATTCTGAGAATATTTCTGTCTAGTTTTTATTAGAAGATATTCCCGTTTCCACCAAAGGACACAAAGCGAAGCCAATTATCCGCTTGCAGATCTTACAAAAACACGTTTCAAAACTGCTCTATCAAAGGAAAGGTTCATCTCTCTGGGTTCAACGCACACATCACAAAGAAGTTTCTGGGAATGCTTCTGGCTAGTTTGTGTGTGAAGATATTCCCATTTCGAACAAATGCTTCAAAGCGCTCCAAAGATTCACCTGCAATTGTTCAAAAGAGTGTTTCAAAACTGTTGTATCAAAAGGAAGGTTCAACTCTGTGAGTTGAATGCACGCTTCACATAAATGTTTCTGAGAATGCTTCTTTCTAGTTTTTATGGGAAGATATTTCCTTCTCCACCACAGCCCTCAAAGCGCTCCAAGTGTCCGCTGGCAGATTCCACAGAAACAGTGTTTCAAAACTGCTCTAACAAAAGAAAGATTCAACTCCGTGATTTGAATGCACACATCACAAAGCATTTTCTGTGAATCCTTCTGTCTAGTTTTTATATGAGGATATTTCCTTTTCTACCATGGGCATCAAAGCGTTCCAATTATCCAATTGTGGATTGCACAAACAGAGTGTTTCAAAACTGCTTCATGAATAGGAAGATTCAAATTCGGGAGGAGAATGCACACATCACGAAGAAGTTTCTGAGAATGCTTCTGTCTAGTTTATATGTGAAGATATTCCCATTTCCAGCAAAGGTCTCAAAGCGGTCCAAATATCCACTTGCGGATCCCACAAACAGAGTGTTTCAAAACTGCTCTACGGAAAGGTATGTTCAACTCTGTGAGTTTACTGAAAACATCCTAAAGAGGTTTCTGAGAATGCTCCTCTCTAGTTTAATGTGAATATATTTTCTTTTCCGCCATAGCCCTCAAAGAGCTCCAAATATCCACTTTCAGATTCTACAGAGTGTTTCAAAACTGCTCTATCAAAAAAAAGTTTCAACTCGGTGAGTCGAATGCACATATCACAAAGCAGTTTCTGAGAATGCTTTCGTCTATTTTTCCCAGGAAGATATTTCCTTTTTGACCGTAGGCCTCAAACCGCTCCAGATATCCACATGCAGATTCTACAAAAAGAGTGTTTCCAAACTGCCCTATCAAAAGGAAGGTTCAACTCTGCTAGTTGAATGCAAACATCACAAAGAAGTTTCTCGGAATGCTTCTGTCTGGTTTTTAGGGGCAGATATTTCTTTTTCTACCATAGGCCTCAAATCGCTCCAAATATCCACTTGCAGATTCTCCAAAAAGAGTGTTTCAAAACTGCTCCAGAAAAAGGAAGGTTCAACTCTGTGAGTTGAATGGACAGATGACAAAGAAGTTTCTGAGAATGCTTCTCTCTAGTGTTTATGTGAAGATATTCCCGTTTCCGATGAAGGCCTCAAAGCAGTCCAAATATCCACTTGCAGATTCTACAAAAACAGTGTTTCAAAACTACTCGATGGAAAGGTATGTTCAACACTGTGAGATGCATGCAAACGTCACAAAGAAGTTGCTGAGAATGCTTCAGTCTAGTTTCTATGGGAAGACATTTCCTTTTGCACCACAGCCCTCAAAGCACCCCAAATGTCTACCTGCAGATTCGATAAAAGAGTTTTTCAAAACTGCTCCATCCAAAGAAAGGTTCAACGCTGTGAGTTGAATCTACATATCACAAAAAAGTTTCTGAGAATACCTCTGTCTACTTTTCCTGTGAAGATATTCCGGTTTCCAACGAAGGCCTCAAAGCGCTCCAAATATCTACTTGCAGATTCTAGAAAAAGAGTGTTTCAAAACTGCTCTATTAAAGGAAGGTTCAACTCTGTGAGTTGAATTCACACATCACAAAGAACTTTCTGACAATGCTTCTATCTAGTTTTTATGTGAAGATATTACTGTTTCCTATGAAGGCCTCAAAGTGGTCCGAATATCCACTTGCAGATTCTACAGAAAGAGGTTTTCAAAACTGCTCTATGAAGAGGTATGTTCAACTCTGTGAGTTGAATGCAAACATCACGAAGTAGTTTCTGAGAATGCTTCTGTCTAGTTTTCAGGGGCAGATATTTCCATTGGCACAATAGCCCTCCAAGCGCTCCAAATATCCACTGGCAGATTCTACCAAAAGAGTGTTTCAAAACTGCTCTGTGAAAAGAAATGTTCAACTGTGTTAGTTGAATGCCCACATCACAAAGGAGATTCTGAGAATATTTCTGTCTAGTTTTTATTAGAAGATATTCCCGTTTCCACCAAAGGACACAAAGCGAAGCCAATTATCCGCTTGCAGATCTTACAAAAACACGTTTCAAAACTGCTCTATCAAAGGAAAGGTTCATCTCTCTGGGTTCAACGCACACATCACAAAGAAGTTTCTGGGAATGCTTCTGGCTAGTTTGTGTGTGAAGAT